>NC_000004.12:109830471-109981987 GCF_000001405.40 Homo sapiens | reverse complement strand
CTGTACTCCAGCCTGAGCAACAGAGGGAGACCCTGTCTCAAAAAATAAAAATAAAACCCAGTTTCACAAGAAGATTGTTGTGAATCAATAAGAATTATTAATTTTTAAAACTCTTGACCATTGACTACACAGCTTTTTAACACTCTATGTAATAAAATAAGAAATGCATATAAATTCTTTCAGTGCATACTAAAGTTATGATGGTTAGCTAGAGGAAAAACATAAGTAAATTTTGAATTGTGAGCTGAAACTAGCCTCTTTTTTTCATTGCATAACTTTTGTTTATTTTTCATCAATCTGTTACTTTACTTATATTTACACCATGCCTACCAGATAAATATAAATTTTTAAAAAATTTAATAAAATGTAAATTATCTTTGGTATATTTCTGCTAGAAAGATATCAAGGGATGAATCCACAGATGCCCAGATTGTTTGGGTGCACATTCAAGGGAGGCAAATAAGTACTACTGGTTATACCTCACACTTGGTTTACTCTTCCTCTTCCTCAAAGTCATATCTAGTTTGTAAAAAAGTACATCACAAGCCTTCTCAGGCTGGATTTCCCACATTTGTCTGATATCCTGAAGTTATTTTTTATAAAGGACTTTGATTTTCTTATTAAGACCTGTCATGTGATAAGAGATCATATACTACTACCTCTAAAATTGAGGACATAAAACTTCTAAACAAAATATCGCTGAACATTTTTGTGAGGTGATAGCATTTTGGCATTTATTTCCAAGCCTGGGACCCACTCCACTATAAATGGGGAGGTGGAGGGCTTGGAGCTTAAGACTGTTACCACTAGAGGTCAATTGAATTTTGCCTGTAATAAGGAACTCAAAACTCAGCAGAAGAGAACAAATAAACAAACAAATTCTTAGCATTCCTAAAAACAGGAGAACTTTTAACATCCAAAATATTCAAAATCAGCAAAAGCATAAAGATTGATGTACAGCTGTATTTCTGAGCCAACGTTAGGTAATTTGCCACATAATTTATTATATTACCTGCCAACAGCTGATGACCATCCAGAGCCAGACACGTTTTCCCATCTGAGGCTTTCATAAAACCTTCACGACACGAACACCAAGCAGTTCCAAGCCTCTTTTTGCAAATATGTTCACAGCCTCCGTTTTGATATAAGCAGGGATCTGCTCCTAGTAGAGAAAAGAAACAAATTCACAAGTGGGTTTGAAGATGAAAAGGATGCCATTAATGCAAGTCTACAGCTTGCTTTTAGGGAGCTATAGCTTTTAGGGAGAGAAATGCAGTGTATCTAAATAGAGGGTATATCAATAGCTATTTCAGAAGAGTTCCCCCAAGGAGCCACTGATTCTAAGATAAGCCCAGAATGTTATTACCTTATTAGTACTGGGTATAGCCAGCACTTTTTTCAAGAAGCTCTTTAGTCAAATGTGATTCTTATTTCCTGACTCATCATCTAGTCAAACTGACAAAGAGCAATTCAGAAAGAAGAGCTACTATAAAATGTGAAATGCCTTTTCCATTTGCTCACTCCTCAGGGGTATGGAAAGGTCCAAGTGTCGACAGAAGCTTCCACTGCCGGTGTCTAAATTGCCTGCCTTAACCCAAGGCTCTTCGAAATGCAGCAGGTAAGTAAAAGTTGTTCAAGAAAAGAGGTGAAATTGGAGGGATAAAGCCCCAATTACCAAACTACCAGATTGTCTTAAACAAACTTAAATCTTAGAAAATCTTAACATCTACACAGTTAGTGAAAGTTACAAAATCCCCTCCACCCCCCCGCCAACTGCATGACATCAAACAATTAAAACAGTTGCAGATTCCAGCCAAGGAAAGACTGTGTAACATCTCCAGTATGTACCTGGTTTTGCCAATGGATGAACCACAACCAGTGATGAGGGCTTCAGCATGCTGCCTTGGAGACGTACTCTATCTTTGCCAGTCCTCTTGTTTACTCTCATTACTGATGGCATAGCCCAATCTGAGAACCACACATAATCCTCAAACACTGCTACAGCAAATGGGTGACCTGGAAACAATTCAAGTTTGTTAAATACACCTTCTTTGTCTTTGCAATGACTATTTACGAAAGGACAAGGCTTGAAATTTACACAACATTCCTACACTAAATCAGCTCTTTAGCTACTCAGCAAGTTATGAGTGAGCCACCGACTCACACACCTGCCTCAAGGAAAGCCCACATGAGGAGGGAACGTCACCTTAGAATGGGAGCATAGTGGCATGAGGTCCCAGCAAGGCCCACTATCACCCAGCAGTTGCAGAGTGGGAGAATGTGGGCTGATTGTCGTCCTAGCCCCATGAAGGAGAAAGGTGGAATTTTCCTTGTTTAGTACATCTGTCGCTACTTATAGACTAAACTCGAGTAACTTATCTTACCACTCTTTGCCTTAGGTTCCTACTCTTTTGAGCAGCAGTAATAAGGGGTAGATCAAATTCACAAGTTCTTGTAAGGATTTTTCAAAATTTGAGGTAATTGTATAAGAGTCTCCCCACATTCCCATCTCCACCAACACATTTGCCTGCATTAGTCCCCCACCTTCTTTCCCCTCTCTCCTTATTTAATATTGACCTGTGCCCCTGATGTCACCCTTCCTGCCTTCTCTAGGGCCTGGATCCATCAACGACCACCCCCTTTCTCTTACATCTTCCCTCTCTTCATTCCACTAGCTTTGTTCCCTCTGTCTACTATAACCTCTCTCCCATCTTCATTTCCTCATCCCCGTGACCCCTCTAGCTCCTCCTTGTCTCTTTCCTTCCCTTTTTAGCCACATTTTTGAAAGAGTCATTTATTATCAGCTGCCTCCATTTTCATGCCTCCTACTAACAGTAAGTGGGCATCTTTCTGAGCCCACCTTCACCAAACCTACCTCTCTGTGCCACTGGAACTGCTCTGAGAAGGCATGCAAGTATTGAATACGCAAGGGAATGTTTTAACGTTCTATCTCAGGTGGTTAGAGACTAAAGCTAAGGAGGCTGAAGTTGGATGTTTTAATCAAGGCTACTCACATTCCCACAGACCACTCTTTTTGTAAACGAACAATGGATTTGACAGATTAGAATGAATGTCTTCCCCTACTGGTGGCAAACTCAAATAACTTGTTCTGGTTACAATGAGTCTCCACTTATCATTGTTGATCAGGGTCATTAAGATTCATTCTAGTCTCTGGCCCTTTGTCCCAAATTAAAGCCTTAAGTACAGCAAGGGAATTTTTAACATAGCTATAGTTCTTTTTTATCATGGTGAAAAAGCATAACAGAAAACTTAACAGCTCAACCATTTCTAAGTTCAGTAGTGTTAAGTACATTCACACATTGTTGTACAACCAATCTCCAGAATTTTTTCATCTTGCAAAACTGAAACTCTATGTCCATTAAACAACTTCTCATTTCCTCTCCCACATCCCCTGGAAACCACCATTCTCCTTTCTTTTCCTATGAATTTGGCTACTCTAGATACCTCAAATAATTGGAATTGTACAGTACGTGTCTTTTTGTGACTAGCTTATTTCACTTGGCATAATGTCCTCAGGAATTAATCCATGTTAAAGCACATGTTAGAATTAGCTATAGTGTTTAAACAAATACCTCACACTAGACATAATCTTTCTTATTTTTTGTTTACAGAAGAACCACAATTAATTGCATTTTAAATTAAGAATATCTTCAACCTTTTAAAATACATTTTTAATGTACAAACAATATTATATGTTTTTATTGCATACAACATGATGTTTTAAAATATATATACATTGTGGAATGGCTGAATCTAGCCAATTAACAAATGCATTACCTCAGTTATCATTTTTGTGGTAACAGCATGGAACATCCACTCTTAGAAGAAATTCTTAACTGGCAGCTGGGAAGCCACCACATATATACCAGTAGATGGCACTGTAATAATGGGAATGTTACTTACATAATTTAATATAAAATTATTTGATAATGGCCTTCAATAGTTGTATTAGTCATACAATATAGTAGCAATATAAATGATACACAAAGTATCTGCTATGCTTTTTAGTTTAAAATATAGTGTCCTCACATTCGGGTTAGAAATTTTCAAATTCCTTTCTACCTTTTTATGTCAAAGATACAATTTTACATTTATTTGGGTGATGTATTTTTTGGTTTTTGTATTTTTTGAGACGGTTTCACTCCGTCACCCAGGCTGGAGTACAGTTGCACAATCACGGCTCACTACAGCCTCAACATCCCAGGCTCAAGTGATCTTTTCACCTCAGCCTCCTGAGTGGCAGAGGGATTACAGGCACTCACCACCATGCCCAGCTAATTTTTGTATTTTTAGTGGAGCAGAGTTTCGCCATGTTGGCCAGGCTGGACTCGAACTCCTGGGCTCTAGTGATCCTCCCACCTTGGCCTCCCAAAGTGCTGGGATTACAGGTGTGAGCCACCATGCCCAGCCTGGATGATTTTTTTTTTTTTAGTAATGTATGTGTTCTGCACTAGATTCCTTGGCTTTGCAGATATCATATTTGTTTTACCCTCCACTGTATCTTCAGTTCCTGTAATGTGTCAATAAATACCCCTGAAGTAAAAGGATGATAAAGTCTAAGGTTGTGCATAAGCATATCACTTATTGTGAAGTATATCTTTAATTTTTAGAGAATCTTATAAATACATAAAATTTTAAATTATACTTATCTTAAGCCAAAGAGAATGGGCAAAATAGGTATCTTATACAGATTATTAGTTGGTTAGCTTCTTCCTAAATGAGAGAAACCATGTTTTTTCATCTTCCCAACCAATTTCTAACTCTCCAAAGCATCTTCAACACTTCCCTGGCTCTCATTTTCTATATGCAATCTGTTACAAAATCCTCTTAATTTTTTATGCACAATAATTTTTAATATCATAATCCTTCATTCCATTTTTAAATGACAATGTTCAAACTCAGACCATCACCAGTTGTTGCCTGGACAACCACTATAGGCTTCTAACAGATTTCCTTCTCTCCAAATTCCAATCGAACTCCTATACTTTACCTAAGCAGCTATCCAGAGATGCCAATCTTAACATATACATTTTATGTGCAAGAACATTCAATGCCCCTCTACTAAATTCAGAATTTAAGTTTAGTCAACATATCCTGGTAGTACTAACATACAAAGGCCAATTTTTGCAGGCTTATAATCTTTTGTCATCATCTATTTACCACATGGCCCAGTTTAAATACTGTCTTTGTACATTCCTGGAGTCAAAATAAATTTCCCACTGCTTATTTCATTGCCATTTTGTACTTCTTTTAACAGCTGGCATGAGCTACAATGTTTTAAAGATATTTATGAAAATATATGACACCCCATGTAAAATCTGAAAATAATAGGGGAGGAAACTATATTAATCTTTGCACAAGTTATCAACTGACATTCATTCATGCCTAAAATTGCCTATAATATCACTGTTGTGAAACAACTTTTCTAAAACATAAGAAATGAAAACAGCTGAACCAAGTTCTTATTCCTAAAGGAGTTTAGAAAATTTTAATATTTTCATTCTGATTTTGGGACTTCTCAGAAAGAGAAATGATTACGCAACACTATTTTTTACCCCGTATTCCAATGTTAAGGTAAGCTTTGCAGCTCATGATTCCCTGGAGAAGTCTGTCTCTATTCCATATTCACCCATACGGCTAAGTGGTATGTGTGTGTGTGTAAACATATTTTGTATTTAACACTCATAAACACTCAGTCAAGATGAAAAAATCGCCCATCCCAAAGCCTCACCTACATCATTCTGGGTAAGTCTTCGGCGTTTTGAACCATCCAGATTGGCCATTTCAATCACAGACTGCTTGGCATCGCACCAGTACAACTTGTCAGTTAAGAAGTCAATCGTTATTCCACTGGGCCAGATTAGATCAGAGCTGGCTATAACCAGACGGCCAAGGCCTTGGAGGGAAGAACTTTCAATTCGTGGATTAATCCCTGTATCAGTCCAGAATAATCTCCTTTAATCAAGAAAGCACACAACAAATAATATCTGCATGAAATAAATTATTCTGTTCTTTCATCATTGAAAATATCAATGTAAATTACCTCATGATATACTAAAGTGGTACACTAAGGAATACAGAAGAAGAGATAGCGCTGTATGTTCGGCAAATAATTTTGAAATGCAGAGCAATTAACTTGTCTATGTAAAGCATCTTCGAAAAGAAATGTTGAATTAAAGCTCAGATCATTAGATTAAAAAAGAAATTGGTTTAAAAATTGCAATATATGACTAATAAAATAGTCATGAGTAAATAGGCTTGAGTAAAATATTCTTGAATTAGCATTTTGTACTGCAAAAAGGCAATGAAATCTTGCTCGCCTGTTCTTCTGTTATGCATATGTAAAATTCACTGCATTTGTAAAACTACAACATAAAGGAAAGATCATATTTATCTGTTACCCAGTTTTATGCAATGTACTCTATTAACTCAGTTAATTTCAACTTCCATAAATCAGGTGCTGGGCACATTTTTTTTGAAGTCAATATGGTTCATAATTTTTATTGGCCTATTTAGAAATGGTTACGTTCTCACAGTTTTAATCATTTGGCTGGCTCCAAATCAATTATCAACTACTATCAATATATTATCTCCCATAAATCATTGTGAAATTTCCAGTGTAAATAAAATAGGGTTGGTTTTTATCTTTGTTTTTTAACAACTAGGAAGAAATTCTTTATTGTCCTTAAATCTCTAATCTGTAAATGAAAATGTGTCACTAACTCACAATTAACAGCACAGTCTTCTAACCTTTCACAGTTTCTGTTTTCTGTCATCTAAAATCTAGGAATGACCTATATCTTGTGATTTTTCTAAACAGAATCTATAAGTCATATAATCCAAATATCCTTTTCTGCTCAGTAAACAACAATGCAAATTTTTAAAGAAAGTAGATGAATGAGCTTGAGTCTAGTTGGTTAATGAATTACAGTGCATTTTTCTTTCAAAAACAAACTGAATTTATTTAAAAGAGCATATTAACAATAAAATTATTATACAAGAATAGAAAATCAAGACATTAAAAGCATGAGGAATTCATGCTGAAGATTTGAACAAATTGCATGGATTTTCTTGGTTTCTGGTTTTGGACACTAGCATATCAACCATGAACTGTCACATGACCTCTGCAGAGCAGTGCCTTATTTTTACAAATACCTACTTGGCCATTGGATGAACAGCAATTCCTCGTGGTTGAGAGATGTTCTCCTTAGTGATTATTTTGGAACGTTTCCCATTTAAATCACTCCTTCCAATCAGAGATTTCCTAAAATATGTGCAAAATAAGGGAGTTTGTTATAACACCTTTACTTTTCAAACAAAAATACTCCTTTCTCCTCTTTCTGAAATGCAAAGATAGGCATTCTAAACCAGCTCCTATTTCTGTTTCTCTCTCCCTATCTCTTACTCTTTCTCTCTCCCCCACCCACAAACAAAGTAGCAGCAATAAGCCCACAAATTTTATATTTGTAAACACTTTTAATTAGCATCCCAATATTTATTCCAGGTAATGAAAATACACAATGACAGGACAAGGTAAAAGGATCGTGTCAGTGGCTGGGTGAGGACATTCTCTTTATAACTTCCAATCTCCTGCTGAAACCAATGGAAGCCAGAAGCAAAGAGACTGTTATCCTCATGGGATCATGAAGACGAGGGAGACAAGCCAGCACAGAGACAGTAGGTGGAGATTTACATTGGCTTTAATTTTCTTCCATTTAATTCTAAGACAAATGGGAGTAAAATTGTCCCTTGGCATCTGTGGGGGATTGGTACCAGAACTCTCCAAGGATGCTCAATTCCCTGATATAAAATGGCACAGTATTTGGATACAATCTATGTACATTCTCCTGTACACTTTAAATCATCTCTAGATTACTTATACCTCATGTAATGTAAATGCTATGTAAATACAGTTATAAGTTATTGGTTTTTATTTGTATTATTTTTTATGACTGTATTCTTATTTTTAATTTAATTTAATTTTTGAATATTTTTGATCCAAGGTTGGTCGAATCCTCAGATGTGGAAGCTGTAGATAAACAGGGCCAATGGTACTGAAATATTACTTGCTAATCTTTACATTAAATAACCCAATGGAATCTGGCAGGGTAGAAAATTCTTATTTCCTGATTTTTCTATTTATTTGTCAAACAAATATTTACTGAGCACCAACTGTGTGTCAGGGATTGGTCTAAGCATTGGAGATACAATAGTAAATAAAGCCCTGTCTCTGTCCTTATAGAGCTCATAGTTCAACAGGAACAGAGGGAGAGAGAGGCAGAGGTGGGAGGGGAAGAGAAAGGGTTAGGTGGACTGGACGGGGAGGGGAAGAAAAGGTGGAGGGAAAGGGAAGGAGGAGAGGTCGGGGGAAGTAAGAGGGGAAAGAGGGAGAGGGGATTATAACACAGCAAATGAAAGCACATGCTGAAAAGAAGGATGTAAAGAATGTAATTGGAAGACTCAGGGAGGGTGACAGAGTGGGTAGCCCAGCCAAGCAGGGATCAGAGAAGGATTCCTGAAGATAATAACAAACGAAGATGAGAAGCAGGCAGCCAGGCAAAGGTGGGTGGGGATGGAAAGAGTACCCTAAGCAAGGGAATGTACATATACAAGTTCTAAAGTACAGGACCTAAAGAATGTGGGGCAGTTATACTTGCACTTTAGAAAGTTTGCTGTGGCTTTAGTGTGAAAGGGCGAGGCAGGCAGGAGATGACGGTGAGGAGATAAAACAGTAGCAGAAGAAATGGAGAAAACTGGATGAATTTAAATGCTAAACATGACTCTATAGCATCCCTGCCCCCTTCAGGAGCAAACAAGGGACGATCAGCAGCTTCTTGCAGCAGGTGGGACCACAGGCAGACAGGATATAAATAGGGCTAAGAAGAGCCTCCCTTTCCCAATGTACTGCCTGCTTTCCCTGTTTCCCTGCTGCAAACCAGAATATATAACCACCTTTAATTCATTCAATAAACATCTGTTAAAGGCCTCTCACCTTGCTCTTGAGGGCAATGTCTGCATGAAACAAGCCTGCCTAGAAACACAAGGTAGGGCCATTCCCTCCTCCCGGTTTTACAGAATGCTAAGGAGACCTTCTCTGGTGGCTGGTTCACCAACTATTTTCTAGGTGCTGTGTAGGGAACAGGACTACATGCACAGTGCTCTATGCACAGGGCCTTATTCACAGGCAGTATGCAGAAGAGAGGTGAAGGTAAAACTGGCTCAGTGACTATGCTGGGTTGGAAACACTTTGCAAACTACCAACTAAAGGCAGTGGAGAATTTGAAACCATTTCTACTCCAGTGCCACTTTAAAAAGATAATTTTACTCCCGGATGAAGTGGTCATAAGAAGGATACTGCTGGGTGGAAGATATTTTTGAACTTAATGTGTCAAGTTCTGTTCTCAGACACAACTGTCACTGTGCCTCTTCCCTTGGTGGGAGGGAAGAAATTCTGAGGCCACTTGCTTGTGACCAGGGGAGATGAAACTGTCACTTCTGATCTCATGATGATCTCTAATCATCTTAGAGATGAGAGACATCATCTCTAAATTCTGTTTCGGGCAGGAATTAAGTGATGAGACGAGAACGACATAAGCTCCTGACTGTGCAGCTGTCTCAAGGCAAGATCGCTGGAATTTACTTTTAAAGCTCCCCCAAGGTGTTCACCTAATATACTTCTATTTGATTCAGCTAGAGAGCAAATCTCAAACTCCAGTGTTGGTAGTGAGAAACCAAAGACCAGCAGGGATATTTGAGTTCATGGGAGTTCAAGCATCACCTTTAATCTAGAGGTGTGTCCTTCTCTCTCTAACCATTATCTAATTGTCCCAGTGTCACTGAGATCCTCCAAGAGAAAAACTCACCCTCCTTCTAGGGTAAGAGGTGTCCATCAACAACCCTAGAAGAGTGATTTTTTTTTTTACCTCATATTAGTTTTTGTTACCTCAAAAGAATGAATAAATAGATAGCTTATATTTTTACCTTCTTGATTCTTTACTAGGCAATTGACTTTAGGAATCAGTATTCCTTGATACTAAATAACAGCATTACCATTGGAATTTTCAATGTGCTTCCTTCCTACATTTAGATGTTAATTTGAATCTGTCTTTTCCTAGGCCAAAAAGGAACTGCAAGCATCCCACTTTGCCCCTTTTGATTGGCTAAGAGTTACCATGTGATCTAATATTATGAGATTGGAATCTCAGTTATTTACATCCAATTTCTAGGTAATATCAAGGTTTCCAAACCATAAACCTCTCATTTCCAGATAAATTAAAGGTTTTCTTTTAGCAGCTGCCTTTAGAGCCAGGAGGACTTAAGAAGGGCTTGTTATTACTGAAGCCAATGAACTGGGGAATTTAGGGTCTGATTCTCCAGGAAACAGTGGTGCCTGTCTATCTCCTGAACGCCTTGCCTCTGCAGTCGGTACCATGGTGCTATTAATCAAACACTGTTAAAATTAGAGGTCCCTTGTGAATGTGGGGAAATATGAGAAGACTTGGCATCCTTAGTGGACCCGAGAGTGGTTGACATCTGCCATTTTGATCATCGTTTACCCTCCTGAGAACAACCATGTACAGCTCTGTTATTATACACAGCCGACATTTAAAATATTCTTTTAAGTAGGTTCAACACAGAGGAGGTCATTATTATGATTTTTATAATTATTACAACTGAAGTTGATTTTAATTTGTCACATGACTCTGAGTCAACCATATGTTAAATCCACACTGGCTTGGGGCGGTGGTACATCTTTATGACTATTAAGAGAATATGCTTTGCAAATGGCCATCTTTGAGTTCCAATTACAGTTCCACATGGTACTTGTTGACTGCTTGACCTTGGGAAAGTTATTTTACCTCTCCAATTATCAATTTTCTTAATCTTTAAATTGGAGATAACAAAACTTACCTTTGGGGATTTAATAGTGTCATGGATATAAAGCACAGTATCTGGTGCATTGCAACTATTCAGTAAATAAATACTCAAATAATAAAGAAATGAAGGTATGATTAGATGAACAAATGAATGAATGAAAGAAAATATGCTCACCTTGGATGTAAAATGGCCATACTATTGATAACTGATAACCATATCATACAGATAAACAAATCAACAGATTTTTTTTTTTTTTTTTTTTTTGAGACGGAGTCTCGCTCTGCCACCCAGGCTGGAGTGCAGTGGTGCGATCTCCGCTCACTGCAAGCTCCGCCTTCCAGGTTCACGCCATTCTCCTGCCTCAGCCTCCTGAGTAGCTGGGACTACAGGCGCCCACCACCCGCCCGGCTAATTTTTTGTATTTTTAGTAGAGACGGGGTTTCACCATGTTAGCCAGGATGGTCTCGATCTCCTGACCTTGTGATCTGCCCACCTTGGCCTCCCAAAGCACATCAACAGATTTTTAAAAACCTGTTTCCCATGGATTATCCTGATAAAAAGAGATATTTCTAGGACACAAAATGCCTACCCCCAAGCATAGAAACCCATTCATTCCCTGGGACTTCTCCCTCTGTGTTGAAACTGCTGATTTCACAGAGGTTAAACCCTCATTCTCCCTTCTTTTACTTTTACTTGGTTGCTTTGGTACCAGATGTTCAGGATGGCCACCATTTCACTTTCTGGCTTTCCGTTACTCTGAGAATATATCTCAGAGCACATTGCATCTCTAGTATTATTTTGTGAGGGGTCTATCGTTAGCAGCTTCTCTTATAGTTCTGTAAGGAAGTGGGATCTCATTCGCACGCAGAAGGGATACAGCCATTTCCTTCCTGCTTCCTGCCATTCAGTTCTGAGGTTCACGCAGGCTGCATACACACCAAGTACAGTAGCCCTTCCTGCAGCTCTGAGAGTGGGGTTTCACAACTGCACTCTGGTTCTGTTTTTTCCCACCGTAGGGAAACAAAGAGCATCTCTCTTATCTCATGCACTTTCCTCACAACTCCAGCTGAAGTTCTCCTCCCTCCTTCATGCTTGTTTTAACAGGGAGTCAACATTCTAGTCCAAGATTTGTCACTTGCATGCCGAAGCTCATTCCATGGCAGCTCCCTTTGGGAGTGTACACCTGTCATTTGGCAATTATTTATGTGTGGCCCTATGACATTTCTTGAACTGCTATTTAGACCAAGAATTTGCATTAATTATTTTGCTGGGGAAATATACCTTATCTCCCCAGCTAAACTAAGAACCGACTGAAAAGATGGAGCACATCTTAGGCTCCTCTGTATCTCCCATGTGACTTCGGAGAAAGTCTTATTTCCATAGCAGATGCTCCGAGAATGCTTATTGCTTATATTCAGACAGGTTTTGAGTTTCCCTGATAACAAAAGCCTGAACTACCAAAACACAGGCTACTTTTTTTTTTATTATTATATTTTAAGTTCTGGGATACATGTGCAGAACGTGCAGGTTTATTACATAGATATACATGTGCCATGGTGGTTTGCTACACCCATCAACCCGTCATCTACATTAGGTATTTCTCCTAAAGCTATCCCTCCCCTTGCCACCCACCCTCCAAAAGGCCCCAGTGTGTGATGTTCCCCTCCCTCTGTCCATGTGTTCTCATTGTTCAACTCCCACTTATGAGTGAGAACATGCAGTGTTTGGTTTTCTTTTCCTAACACAGGCTACTTTCTTGGCCTTCAAAATCCTCCCACGCACACAGATGCAATCTTGATGAAAGGAGGAAGTGGAGGGAGTGTGGACCGCAATGGTGGCCTCTTTTCTCCAATCCCAACCAAATGCCCAGCAACATTTTTCTGTGTTCAAAGTGGAAGATGAAGCCAATAGTATTACCTATCCCATCACTCCCATCTCACACAGCTTAAAACTGAAGCAGAAAACATACCCTCTGTCTGTCCAATAGAATCTACGGCCAATCCAGTCCACAGCAAGACCTTCTGGCACATCTACTCCTTCCTCAATAAGCCTTTCTCGCTGGGAACCATCCATATTAGCTCTCTCTATCCACTTCAGGGCTGTATGGGCAAAGTATATCTACAAAAGAGAACACAGGCATTTCTGATTTTTTTTTAAAACTAATGTGGAATATATACAAATGGCACTAGTCTTTAGGTTGTACAGGGTGTTAAGAGCTTGACTTTGGAGATAGGCACACCTGCAACTAAATTCGAACTAGGCTGCTTCCCAGATACGTGTAACCTTAAGCAAGTTATTTAATGTCTCAGAATCTTAGTTTCCTCATCGGTAAAATAAGGATAATAATATCAATCTTATTAGGTAGGTAGGTAGGTAGGTAGATAGATAGATAGATAGATAGATAGATAGATAGATGTATATAGATATAAATATACATATATCCTTAGCCATGTATCTGGCACATATTGCTATTGCTATTGTTATTGCTATAGATAGATAGAGAGATAGATAGATAGATCTCCTTAGCCATGTATCTGGCACATATTGCTACTGCTATTGGTAATTTATTAACCCTTGATCATTGGTCAATGACGTAGCCATCATGCTTGAACTACTGTGGCTTCTGAAAGGGGGCAATGATTTGCAATTAATGAGGGCTACAAGCTGGGCTCAGTCTGTAGCACCCCACTTCACTGCAAGTCAAGAGATACTTAGTCACTGCAGGTCAAAACTGGTTCCCAGTTTTGTCACTTATTTGCTTGATTGCTTTGGATAAATTCTTTAACCTCAATTTTCTCAACTGTAAAAATGAGGAAGTTAGACTAGGTATTTGCTAAAGTTCCTTTAGTCTCTAATCTTATATTCAATCAGATGCCACATAATGACATTTCGGTTGATGATGAACTGCATATACGATGGTGATTCCGTAAGATGATAATGGAACTGAAAAATTTCTATCACCTAGTGACATTGTAGCATTCAAAATGTCATAGTGAAATTACTTTTCTTATAAGTTTAGTGTAGCCTAAATGTTCAGTGTTTGTCTACAGCAATGTACAGTCATGTCCTAAGCCTTCACATTAATTCACCACTCACTTACTGACTCATCCAGTGCAACTTCCAGTTCTGCAAGTTTCATTCATGGTAAGTGCCCTATAAAGGTGTATCATTTTAAAATATCTCTTATGCCATATTTTTTACTGTACCTTTTCTATGTTTAGATACACAAATTTTTACTACTGTGTTACAATACTGCTTACAGTATTCAGCATAGTAACATCCGCACAGGTTTGTAGCCTAGGAGCAAGAAGCTAGACCATTAGTGATGCATGACTGTAATTTCATTTTAATTCATCCATCTTGTTCAACAGAAGATTTCTTGCCAATGCGAAGTTCTTTTACAGTCTAGTATGCAGCCTATCACACAGGTACAAGAATTTCCATAAGACTGTTTAAAAATGACCCAAAGCAATATACAGATACAATGCAATTCTTATCAAATTGCCAACATCATTCTTCACAGAATTAGAAAAAACAATCCTAAAATTCACATGAAACCAAAAATAAGCCTGAAGAGCACAGACGATACTAAGCAAAAAGAAATAAAGCTGAAGGCACCATAGTACCTGACTTTATACTATAAGGCTGTAGTAACCCAAACAGTATGGTACTAGTATAAAAACAGACACATAAACCAATGGAATGGAATAGAGAACCCAGATTTAAAGTCATATGCCTACAACCAACTGATCTTTGACAAAGTCCACAAAAATATACGTTGGGAAAAGGATATCTTATTCAATAAATTGTGCTGGGGAAATTGGAGTGCCATAAACAGTAGAATGAAACTGGACTCTTATCTCTCACCATATAAAAAATTAACTCAAGATGGATCAAACACTTAGGTGTAAGCCTGAAACTATAAAAATCCTAGAAGAAGAACTAAAAGAAACTCTTCTGGACATTTGCCTAGGCAAAGAAATCATGACTAAGCCCTCAAAAGGAAATGCAACAAAAACAAAGATATACAAATGGGAATTAATTAAACTAAAAAGCTTCTGCACAGCAAAAGATAAAATCAACAGAGTAAACAGATAACCTACAGTATGGGAGAAAATACTTGCAAACAATGCAGTTCACAAAGGGCTAATATCCAGAATCTATAAGGAACTCAAACAACCCGAGAAGATAAAAACAAATAACCCCATTAAAAAGTGGGCAAAGGACATAAACAGACATTTTTCAAAAGAAGACACACAAGCAGCCTACAAACATATGAAAAAATGCTTAACATCACTAGTCATCAGAGAAATGAAAATCAAAATCACAATGAGATATCTTCTTACACCCATCAGAATGACTATTATTAAAAAGTTAAAAAACAGCAGATGTTGGCATGGATGTGAAGAAAAAAACAACTCTTATACATTGCTGGTGGGAATGTAAATTTGCAATCCTCTAGGGAAAAAGTATGGTGATTTCTCAAGAGCTAAAAATAGAATGACTTTTTAATCCAGCAATCCCACTACTGGCTATCTACCCAATGGAAAAGAAAGTATTATATCAAAAAGACACCTGCACTTGTATGTTTATCACAGCACTATTCATATAGCAAAGTCATGGAATCAATCTAAGTGTCCATCAATGGATGAGTGGATTTTTAAAATGTGTCATATATATACAATGGAATACTGCTCATAAAAAAGAATGAAATCATTGTGAGCAGCAACATGGATGGAATTGGAAGGCATTATACTAAGTGAAATGACTCAAATAGAAAATCAAAAATTGCATGTTCTCACCTATATGTGAGAGCTGAACAATGGGTACACATGGACATACAGAGTGGAATAACAGACATTGGAGACTGCAAGGGTGGGAGGGTGCAGGGGGGTAACAGGTGAAATACTACCTATGGGAACAATGTTCACTATTCAGGTGATAGGTAAATTAAAAGCCCAGACTTCACCACTACACAATCTATCCATGTAAGACAACTGTACTTGTACCCCTAAACCTATAAAAATTTAAAATGTATATATATATATATTTTTTTAAAGATATGGGTCAGTTGATAATTTAATGAAAGCATTGTAGAATTTTAACTGTGAGTACACATGTGTACATAAACTTACAATCAATAATGAGACTATTCAGAAAATGGTAAGTCGTTAAATAATGGGTTACTCTTCTTTCTAAATGAAATAGAAAAGGTTATGTTTCATAAATACAAATAGGGGTACTTCACTCCACTGGCACTGTGCTTCTCAAACTCTAATGTGCATAAGAATCACCTGATAATATTGTTAAAATGCAGATACTGATTTAGTGGTCAGGGGTGGAACCTGGAGGACTGCAGTTCTAATAATCTCCAGGTGTTGTTGACACTGCTGGCTCAAAGATCACAATTTGAGTAGCAAGAAAATAAGAAAATTAACCCAAGAAACAAAAACCAGCCACCTGACTTAAAATTCATTCTAGGTCTCCACATTCACTTGTTGTAAGAATACTGATTCTGCAGGAATAAAACTAGTTTGGTAATAAATGAATCTTGAACTGCCTTTTTTCTATTAATTATTTTTTTCTGTTATTGTAACTGTTCTATGGAACCATATAGATTCAGGTCAGGGAAAAGAATTGTTTGCTAGTGTTCAATTGCAAAACTTTAATTTGCAAAAATACTTCTATTTGGCTACCAATCCATACCTATTAAATATAGAATCAATTGGCTTCACTTTGTTTCTTTTGGCCATTTACCAGACTGCTTCAAATCAGGAAGAAACAAAAGCCCAAAGTTTGAAAGTCTAGGAATTAATGTACCACATAGTAATAACTAAATAATTATGCAGGGTAATTAATAACTATATAAATGTATCATTATTGGGTGATTAATCTCCAAAACACACTGTAACATCATTTCAAGCACATTCTAACCTAGCACAGATACAACTAAGAAATTAGAGATCAAATGGCCAGCTGATACAGAAATTCTAAGTTACACACAAAACTTATATAAAATGTTTATGTAAATAATGTTATTAGTTAGATTGCCATTCTCACATGAGCTATAAAACTTACGTTCCCTGATTTTCATGGTTAAGAGGTCATTGAATCTCCTCCCTCAAAAGACATATGTAAAACACAAATTACTAATCCATACTTCCTATGCCCCAAACTCAACCTCCCACTCCTCTCACTACCAGCAAGTAATAAAAAACCTGGTTATGAAGCTCCTTCTATATGCATGACACTGTGCTAGTCTCCCATCCTCATCTCCAAAGAGGAAACTAAACTGAAAATCTAAAACTAAACTGTGTGATCATTTCCAATAAAACGGCTAATCGTAGCAAGGACTAGGGTAGCATTATGATGGCAAAAAAGTCCTTAAAATTTCTCAAGTGTTACTCCAATATCTATATTTAACTTGTTCTGTGCCTAATCATTCAGAACTTAGCAGAGGATTTTCAAGTAGGCCAGGTCATTTGTTAGGATAAAATCCTCTACTCTGTCCTTAAAGCATGTCCACATCTGTTCAAGTAACAAAACCATACCTTATTTTCCACAGGGTCATGATCTAGGGCATAAACCATTCCCATCTGCTGGCTGAGCAGAGTTCCATAGTCTGTTCCATCAAAATGCATGTGTCGAATATCTTGAGAATTGGCAAACAGCAAAAATGGTTGTGGTCCTGTTAACCAAATTTCAAATATGGCTGAATTTAAAACGTGCCTTAGAAACTAAGAGGCATCTCTGACTCTTCCCTTTCACTGTACCTTTTTACCCAATTTCTACAGTACTTGTTTTCTTAATTTCCCTCTAGTGTGGTATAGGTGAAGACAGGCAAGAGGATGTCCTCTTCCAGGAGGTGACATATTGCCAGAATTTCATCTCTGGTTTCTTCCCTCTCCAGGTATTTGCTTTTAAAAGCTGCTTACTTACAGAAAGAGACAGCGTTAAATAACCAACACCATAGCTAAATGATGCAAGTCTTAGGGTTATACATCTTCTTGATTCACACATACTGAAACACTAATATTAGTAGATTGTATACTTTCATGTCCGAATAAGTAACTTTCCCTGGCCTGGGCACTTCTTAAAGGGAGGCACAATGATTTGAGTTAATAGCAAGACCCTTGATAATTTTAAGGATTTAGATTACACTATATTAATGAAGGCCCTGAGAAGTTAACAGTATTGGGGTCTCACTAGGGCAAGGTATACAGGATCATCATTACATGATAGCATTATGAGCATTATATGTTTAAAACATAATGAACCTTCAGGAGATATTAAATCAATTTGGTATAAATCTAGAATTTCCATGGCTGTTGAAGGATGCAAGAGAGGTAATATCAGAAGACAAAAAAAATAGCTGAAGCGTACAACTTTATATTGAATTTTGACATTAAAAGGACAGAATTTGTCAGTGTTATAATTATATTCAGTAGAGAGATAAAAATCAAATCAATCAACAAATACTTATTAAATGCCTCTTAACTATAAAGTGTTTTAAGACTATTCTTGTCATGACTTTCTCATATACTAAAAATATTCTATCTGATATTATGGCAAATCTTTGCCGGATGCTAATTAAGAATAGAAATAGTCTTTAAAAGCCTGGTTACTAGTTATATTGTTATTACTCATATTATTCATATTTACAATGTGATTTGCTTTTTTTCCATTTCAAAAATACAAAACCATAAGCAGTTAACTTTCCATCTTTCTAAACAAAAGATTTTCATGAATTTTTTTTCAGGGACACAGTTCCAGACAACCACAGCACTAACCTGAAGCTGCACAGCTTTTTTCATCCAGTTGTAGGTCATACCCAGGAAAGCAATCACATTCCCAGGATACTGGGCTAAGAGGAACGCAGAGCTGGCTACATCCACCATTATCGGGTGAGGAACAACCTACAAAAACAATTGCTTAGTAATGATGCTACGTCATCCAAAATATAATTATTTTTCATCAAAGGATGGGGGCGAGTCAACCATTTGTTAATTTTTTTTTTTTTTTTTGAGATGGAGTTTCACTCTTTCACCCAGGCTGGAGTGCAATGGCACTCTCGGCTCATTGCAACCTCCGCCTCCCAAGTTCAAGCAATTCTCCTGCCTCAGCTTCCCAAGTAGCTGGGATTACAGGCACCCGCCACCATGCCTGGTTGATTTTTGTATTTTTAGTAGAGACGGGGTTTCACCATGTTGGCCAGGCTGGTCTCAAACTCCTGACCTCAGGAGATCTATCTGCCTCAGCCTCCCAAAATGCTAGGATTCCAGGCATGAGCCACTGCACTCAGCCCATATGTTGATTTTTTAAAACATTTCCACAATCATTCATATGGCTGCAATCAAGGTTATTTTTCAGAGATAAAAATCAAAATGTCACACTACCCTCCTTCCCTATAACCCAACATCTTGGATGTTAATCCTTCACATTCCAGTGGCCCTTGTCCTCTTATTCTACCAATGAGTTCAGGAGCAAGTGCACTGGCAGCTGTCTAGAATGAAAAATCCATTTGATGAGTTTGGCAGCTGGTCTAACTCTTCCTAGTAATTTTTTTCTCTCACACATTTTTAGCTGCTTGGCTTTGTTTTATTAGAAAATCAAAAACACACACACAATTCTTCTGCTAATTCTGAGTTACATCCAGTTATCTATATACTTAAGTCTCTATGAAGATAAAAGTAGAGAGGTGTTTATTAGGTGCAAGAAACAGACTAAGCACTCTGCATCTGAAGTCTCATTTAATCAAGGTGGCAAGTATCAGTATCTCTGCAGTTGAAGAAACAAAGACCAAGAGAGGGCAAGTATCTAGACCAAAATCAAAACTGCTAGTAACTGGTAATGCTACCTCAGGGCTGTCAAGCCTCAAAGCCCTTGCTCATAAGTTAGACGCTATGCTGTCTAAACAAAAACAAAAAAGCCAAAAACCCAAAAATACTAAATTTAAATCTATGTTAATCTGTTGTAACAATATCTTTCAGTATACAATATTGGAAAATCAATTCTTCCTTGACAACAAGATCAATTTTTAGATGTCACTGAGCAAATGTATGTTTTCAAACAAACAAAAGGTAAATAAAGCAAATAAACTCACCGCTACATGTTTTCCCATCTCTCTCAAGCACTGAGCCTTCAGGACAGAAACATAAGGGACCTTCTGATGTCAGAACACAGTCATGGCTGCATTCAGACACATTGCGTGGACAGGAAACAAGTTCTAATTAATAAAGAACAAGGTCAAGATTAGTGTTAAATCGGGTTTGCAAAAATTTATTGCAATCAGTTGCTAATATTGCCAGGTGATCCTCCTGCCTTGACCTCCCAAAGTGTTGGGATTACAGGTGTGAGCCACTGTGCCTAGCCTTAATTTTTTAATGCATAACAATGGTATTGTGGTTATGCCTGAAAATTAACTGGATATTAAATGATAGGAAGGAATTATAGTTAAGTTTTTTAGATACAATAATGTATCATGATTATGTTTTTTACATGCCTATCCTTTAGAGATATACAATGAAATGTAGTACCCAATAGTTATTTTTAAAAATTAAAAAATTAAAATAAAAAAGAGATAGACAATGAAATATAAGGTAATACAGACAAAGAAACAGGAAAATACCTATAATACATAGATTATAGATGATTTGTTTCCCAACCTGAGAGGTTCTGATTTGATAGGTCTGGGGTAGAGTCCAGTCATCCATGGTTTTTGTTTTGTTTTGCTTTTTGAGACAGGGTCTCACTCCATCACCCAGGAAGGGCAGTGGCTTGATTTCGGCTCACTGCAGCCTCCTCCTCCTGGTTCAAGTGATCCTTCTGCCTCAGCCTCCTCAGTAGCTGGGACCACTGGCATGGGCCAACATGCCTGGCTAAGTTTTTTTTTTTTTTGTATTTTTAGTAGAGATAGGGTCTCACCATGTTGCCCAGGCTGGCAGTCATCCATGTTTTAAAAAGCCAAACAAAATAAAACTCAAAGGTAATTATGATGCACACTGCTGATTGAAGATCACCAACCCAGATCATAGCCACCTTAGAAACATATTGAAAATGAAGAAAACTAATGCAATAAATACTTGTTGCTATAACTTACGATGACATCGTTTCCCATCAGGAAGCAGAACAAATCCTACAGGGCACGTGCAGTAATAGGATCCAGGGGTGTTTTTACACCCAAGAGTACAGCCATGATTCCAAAAAGCACATTCATTAACATCTGCACAATGACAACAGCACAATACATTCAAATGGCTATTTTTGAAAATAAATTGTGCTATCACTAATAAGTCATCACAACGCAGGGTATCTCACACTTGTATATGCTGTAATTGATCATGGAAAGTCTGTTTTCCATACTCTAGCAAAGGGTAAAATAAGTCAATTAAATGATGATAAAAGCCATTTCTATTCTGTCACATTTTATGCTTTTGTTTTCCCCGAGATAGAGTCTGGCTCTGTCACCCAGGCTGGAGTGCAATGCCACGATCTCAGCTCACTGCAACCTCTGCTTCCCAAGCTCAAGTGATCCTCCCACCTCAGCCTCCTGAGTAGCTGGGACTACAGGTGCACACCACAACACTCAGCTAATTTTTGTATATTTTGTAGACATGGGGTTTTGCTACATTGCTCAGGCTGATCTTGAACTCTGGGACTCAAGTGATCTGCCCGCCTTGGCTTCCCAAAGTGCCGAGATTACAAGTGTGAGTCACCACGCCTGGCCCAGCTTATACTTTCAAATACAGATTTTCATATTAGAATAACCCTTGGGAAAAAGGTAGTATTATTTCCCTTGAAAAGATATAGCATGCCATTTCAGTTAGGGACTCTTGAAAGCTCTTTACAAGCTTAGGACATTTCCTATTGTGCTCTTCAACCTTCAAGACTGACCAGAGCCCTTTCCCTAAATGTGGAAACCTTCTCCAGCAGTTTTATTCTGGCTGAAGCCCCAGCCTTCCAGCTCACTATCTCTATGCCATGGCTTTCACCCATTGGTCCCATGTAAGCAGGGGGTTATAATTAACAGGCAGATGCTAGATTTACCTGAGGTCTCACCCCAGCTAATTCCACTGTATGTGTGCTGCAGCCATTGGATTCTTTTCATCACTAAACTACTGCACCTTCCAGGAAAAAGGACATAGTATTTCTCCTGAGTTCGTTGCACTTGGTCCAGAATCTCAAAACAGGAGGATTCTTAGACAAACCAGCCTGGCTCAGTTTCCCAGGCTTCCTACTAGATCTTCTTGGGATAAGATAGGAGTCACAGACTCTTTGAGACTCTTACGATCCCTATGAAACCACTCCCCTAAAAATGTACACATACTGAAATTTTGCACACAAACGCAGAGGTTGGTAGAATCCACTTAGAGAATCCCTGCCTTATATCAACCCCTAAGCATCCTCTCAGTGTTTGATCTAGAAACACAAGATATGAAGATAGGAAAGTATTATAAAGGTTTTACAAACAAGAAAAAATAAATAAAAAATAGTCTTCAGGGGTTGTGTGGGGGACGGGGAGAATGGACTTGAAGTTGGTTTTCCACTGAGTCTCTGGCTGGCCCACTGAAGACAAGCCGCTGGCTCAGTTGAGCATTCCTCCCCTCAAGCAGCGACTCTTCCATTACCTTCACAGTACTTCCAGTCATTACCTTCACAGTACTTCCGGTCTCGACTTAGGGCGTATCCCTCTGCACACATGCACAAGTGTGACTGGAGGTCTTGCCCACACACAGTGCTGCTGCAGTTTCCTTTCCTCAATTTGCAAAGTTTCTGCTCTAAAAGAGAAGATGCTTTATTTGGAGTGGGGCCGTGTTTTGACAGAGGACACTGCTAAATCTTTTCCTGATTCTTAAGAGGTCTTACCTCCCTACAACGTCTACAGCTGCATCTCTCACGGAGGCAAACTTAGCCAGAGCCCAGATTCCCCAGCATCCCGAAGCCCACTTTTTTCTCCAATTGTATTACTTCTCCAAAACCTCTCAGGATTGGGCATCCTGATTAGCTGGAGATGTCATTTCTTAGGTTGCGAATACTAAACACTACTTATTAGCTTTTTCATTCTAATGTACTTTTATCACAAAAAAGCACACATTCTGCAAATGAAATAATCTGCTTAGGAAATGAAAACAGATTCAAACCTAAGAATACTTTTTTTTTTTTTTTTTTTTTGAGACAGGGTCTCCCCCTGTCACCCAGGCTGGAGTGCAGTGGCACAATCTTGGCTCACTGCAACCTCAGCCTTCTGTGTTCAAGCGATTCTCCTGCCTTGGCCTCCTAAGTAGCTGGGATTACAGGTGCACACCACCACACCTGGCTAATTTTTGTATTTTTAGTAGAGACGGGGTTGGCCAGGCTGGTCTCGAACTCCTACCTCAAGTGATCTGCCCACCTCAGCCTCCCAAAGTGTTGGGATTATAGGCATGAGCCACTGTGCCTGGCCAAGAATACTTTTTAAGTGTAATATTTATAGGTTAGATATGTAAGCTATTTAGCTGTTTTTAACATCATTATTTAATGAACATCTTTCAGACTCAATATATACCATTGCCATATCTCTGCTCCTCAAATTTCTGTAGTTATTGCTGCCAGTGTCCCACGTGTTCCAAATATTCCATAATAAACAGTAAAATCTGCTCAGCGAGTTGGGTGTTTGGGTTGAATTAGCCAGCTATATTGAATAAGTGGTCAATTTTGTACCATTGGGATTTTCAGAGCCAGAATCAAGGGCTAAACTAGTAACACCTACAGTTGGCCCTCCATATCTGTGGATTCAACCAACTTAGGACTGAAAATATTTGGGAAAAAAAATTCCACAAAGCAAAGTTCCAAAAAGCAAAACATGAATTTGCCACATGCCAAGCACTATGTTGAATTCACAGGAATGAAGTGATGTAGGCATTGTATTAGGTATTATAAGTAATTTGGAGATGATTTAAAGTATATGGGAGGATGTGGCTAGGTTATATACAAATACACCGTTTTATATTAGAACTTAAGCATCTGCAGATTTGGGTATCTTGGGGGATACCAATCCCCCACGGATACTGGGGGACAACTGCATATCTCTTTCCAAAAAGTTAATGAGATTTTTGTCTCTTTTGCACCTTATTTTTTGCCCATTTTAAAAACAATAGCACCATTGTAAAATACTATGAGAAATACAGTAGCAAGCTTGAGCGTAAGGGCAGATACCTAGAATGCAGGTAGATACAGAGGCCAGAGGCCTGGCAAGAGGTGAAGGCCAAGGAAAACTATTGGGGTCATGGATTCTGAAGCCATGGCATTGTTAAAATCAGCTAGAGCTGATGTATCATGGGAAAAGCTGAGGACCTAAGGAAAGGACTGCTGAGAACACCACCATTGCTGGGAAGGACACAGGAAACAAATCAGCAAGAGCCTGAGCAAAGCAGGCAGAGGGCCTGAGACTGTTCTCCAAATAGGCTTGGTTTCTCTGATCTGTTTATCTACTAATAAAGAAGTCTCCTTTGTCTGTACCCATTTGCTTCTACTTCAAATCTCAAAAGATAAAATTTCAACACATTTAATTAAATGATCAAATTGGCTTTTATTTGGGATTCATGAATTGGGCAACATCTTGTCTAAAAATAGACAGATGCTACACTGGCTGTGGCAGCACATTCACTTTTGTGATATTGCTTGAGCATGATATATATAGTGGATTGGTTAACATCAGTTTACTTCAGGTTACTTTCCTCGTAAAGGTTAAACCAGATGGGATTTCCTTATGATACCAGTTAAAGCTGACCTGTTTGGGGATTTGGCTATCATCTCTCTCCTGATCCGTCAGGGGGTCAGATAAACAAGTTAGTTTTGGTGTGTTGATGTGGAATTTTAGCATGAGTGACTTCATTTTGGTTTGGTCTGTTGGGGCCTATTGCAGGAGCTCAGTCTAAATCAGTTGCCTCCCATAAATTTTATTTAACATCACTAGACATGACCAATAACAGTAAGATTCAGTAGAAACATATTCTTGCCCCCTTGAAAATGTCCCTAGTGTACATTGAGATAACCGGAGAGTATGCCACCCTCTAGAGATTCTGATTTGGTAAATCAGAGGCTCAGGAATCTGCATTTTTACAGAATCAGGAGTGATTATGATGTCAGGAGGCTGCTTCACACCACACTTTCAGAAACACTGGCCTAATGTACTAGTGAAACGTTACACCTTCATCTTAGTTACAAATAATTACTTTTAGCTAGTCTGTGTTATTTCCTTAGTTATTTTGAACCTGTTTTTTCAAATCTCTTTACAAAATTAAATGCAAAATCAGTCTTGTCAACTTTCAACACCATTGCAGTATTACCTGCTAAATCAGTTAAGATTTACATTGAATGGTCTTATGGATAATTGATTCCAAAAATTTTATTTCTTGCCTATGATTTTTATGCCAATTATACATGTATAGTTACATTATTTTTCTTGTTCTATATGCTTCACTTAAACTATCAAAATTTTAAGCAAAATTAAAAATAAAATGGCCTAAATTTTAAAAGTAAATGACTAAAATTAGAAACTTGTAAATATTGGAGACAAAATTCATCCACTTTAAATTTCTTTTTAAAAAGCAGTATTGTGTTTAACTTTTATTTTTACAAACTGTACAAGTTAACAACAACAAAAATCCAGGAAGGTTTGAGTTGGCCTTTTAATAGCACTGAAATGCTACACTTTCTTGAGATAACAAAAAATTGAAACACTATGCTTCTTATAAAAACTCTTTCCTTTGCCCTATAAAAATCTTTCCAAACTCAGCATGCTGGATGATTACTGGATTACCAATCAGGGAAACTGAATTTTGTCTTGGTTCTTCCTCTTACAGCACATCACTTTATCTCTTTGACCTAAGTTTCCTAATTCACAAAATAAACTTGTTGAAATAGATATTCACTGAGATCCCTCTTTTAAAAAAATTCTATAGTTATAAACAGAATTAAATGTTGGTGAAAAATTCTTCTGAGTTTATACCTCTAAAGATTATCAAACCTTAATTACTGCTTATAGTATGGTAACAGAGAATCAAACTGTCTAATGAAGAAAACAACTATTGTCTCAGGTGTAGAAAATGCTTTGTTCTTCTAGATCCAGTATATATTTTTCTTTTTTCCCATACCTTTCTACTACCTCTCACCTGGATTTGTATCTGTTCTTATCATGATCATCCCCATTGTCACCACCACAATTATGTATATGCATCTTTTTTCCATTGATAAACTTCTGAGGATAAGGCATGTGCCCTATTCACATTTATAGTCCCAGTAACACCTAGCACGGTGCCTTTTACAACATAGGCATCCAGTAAACATCTAATACATCCACAAAAAAACCCTGTGATCATGTCACCTGCAACCTAACTCCCTATTTGTTTTTTCCTCAAAGTTCCAATCAACCTTAGAGCTAGAACTCAAAACAGTTTGTCACAAGATGCTAGCCAGTACTTTTTCCACTATACCATGCTGCTGATGGCTTTTAGTGATGCTTATTAACAATACACAATCACTCTTCAATAATGGACATAGGCAGGAAAGAAATCACTATTCTCCTCTGCCTAGTTGTGCTGATGACGTGACCTGAATTCAGACACTAAACACTTTAAAAGGTCATTTTAGGTGGTGGCAAAACACAGAGGATTGAGGGTTATATTTTCTTTAATCTCCTTAATCTTCTGCTGTTCTTTAGCTTCAAAATAGGCCAAAGCCAGCACTGAGAATGCTGCTGCTGACCTCAGAGAACACTCCTTCTCAGAGCTGAGCAATGAGGCTTAATTACCTCTGAGATCAATTAAAGCTCCTAATCATGGAGTTTAATGTCCACCACCAACTGCCCCTTCAATAACTGCCTGGCTAGCACACAGGCACTCATGAGCTTTACTATAGCCCAGTGAATCTGTAGATTTTACCCTGGCCCAGTTCTGAAACAATGCACTTGGGATTCCGTTTCCTGTTTTTTTCCACTGATCACATCTTTGTCTACCTCAAACTCCATGTAAGACTCACCTCATCAACAAAGCCTTTCTAGTCTCTTCCATTCAAACCCATTAACTTTGGTCATTCTGAAGTCATAACTAAATATTTGGCATCCCCAATATTTAGCACATAACAAAAATTTTGAATAACACTTTGTAAAGTATTTGTATTATCACATTTCATTTTCATAACAAGCCCTTGAGCTATGCAGAGCAAGTATCATCTTCCATTTTACAGATTAGGAAATAGTGCCTTGTTAAGGATCACATAGAAAATAGAGTGTAGAACTGGGATGCTATTCCAAGCCCTTTGACTGTAATCCCCCTCTTTTTACCAGATACGTAAAATTCTATGTGTGTGTGTTTATATTTATGCATTTGCATAAATATAAACATGCACATAAAATATATGTTAGTTTTATGAAATGTCTATAAAAACGTGGCTATATTTTTGCTTCATTTGTTTATTGTCTTCATCATTAATGAGTTCTCAATAATGACTGCCTCAACTTCCTCAAAAAACTTCTCAAACTGAACAGTATAGAAGTTTACTCTTGTCAGTAATAGAAATACAAGGAAGAAAATACAAGAATGGCCGTTCTGTGCTATTGGAATTCCTAATTACAGTAAAAAAAGAAAAAAATCACCTAGCCAGAATTTAGCCACTTGGTATCATATCCATCTGTACCCTTTTAGGAATTAAAAAGTAAATGAATCAACAAACTTAAAGCACTTTAAAAATAATGCTTTTGGCCAGGCGCAGTGGCTCACACCTGTAATCCCAGCACTTTGGGAGGCCAAGGCGGGCAGATCACCTGAGGCCAGGAGTTGGAGACTAGCCTGGCCAACATGGTGAAACCCCATCTCTACTAAAAATACAAAAATTAGCCAGGTGTGGTGGCATGTGCCTGTAGTCCCAGCTTCTTGGGAGGCTGAAACATGAGAATTGCTTGAACCTGGGAGGCGGAGGTTGCAGTGAGCCAAGATCATGCCACTGCACTCCAGCATGGGTGACAGAGCGAGACTCCGTCTCAAAATAAATAAATAAATAAATAAAATGCTTTTAACTCTTAGAAGAGCCCTTCAGGCCCATTGAGTCTTTTCTTATTGTATCCTCATTTCTGGCAGTTTGGTTGCCCATAGCAGGAAGATGGAAAATACAAGGTATGACATATGTACAACTATTATGTATCCATAATTAAAAATACATTTTAAAAAGACAAGGTGTATATGCCTCCACTACCATTGTCACCACCGCACCCCACCCACATTCACCAATGGTAGAAGTGGCTGCGTGAGTCCAGTGTTCTTTCTTACTAATCCCAGATGTAGCCTTAACCTTGCATTCCAGACTGCCAGTGTCAACGGCTGCAAGACAGTTGGTAATTTCCCACACAGACTAGAAACTCCAGGTCAGGGTTCCTTCCAGAGAAAGATAGTACAATTTGAGTATCAAAATGGTAATAATTACAGTGAATACAAATGTCAATTATTTTTAAAAATCCATGACTTTATAGAGATGATTAAAGAAAAGTGACCTTTGGAGGATACTGGAAGGTTAGGACACTAACTCTTTATTTTGAAAACACGTAAATTAAGAAATAGGATCGAACACTGAATTTACCTTTCCTATAAAAGCTCCTCCTCCTCAGGACAATCATATATCTGATTTGGAAAGGCTCCTCTTTGTATAAGAATCCCAGCTAATATATGCATAAACAGTGACAGAATTAGAATGTCATTGCTTTGAGCCTCTAATAAAAAATGGCTCCAGGCAATGATAATCAATAGCTTCTAAAACAATTAAGCAAAAGGCTGATGGGGAACTTGCAGTGGCTGGACCAGGCTGGTGACCTCTGAAATGCTAATTAATTTTGAACATCACAAAAAAGAATAAGAACTAGCCCCATGTGCCTTTTAATGTGGTACAAAGGGGAAGCTTACAGAACCACCTGCAGTGCCACCCATAAAGCATTCTTGAAAACAATCTGATTCTGATCAGATTTCTAAGCCTAAACTACCAGTTTATAGGTAACAAGGAAATTAGAGAAACATGTTAAATGACACACGGGGATATAATCTGCAAAATCCAGAAAGTGAAAAATTCTATAGGACTAATGATCTGGTTTCCTGAACAAACAAGTGGCAAGAAAAAGCCTCAGGTTAGAAAATAAACAGAGGCCACAGCCAGGCATGTGAAAACCTGCAAGATGTGAGAGCCAGCAGCAAGAAAGAAAACATAAAAATGATAAAGAGCAATTTCAAGTATTTAAAAGAGATTTCAAATGGCAGCCATTTGGTGTCAGGGCAAACCCAGCTTTGCCCCAAACCAATCCTATGCTTGCTGCAATGGCATGTATCCTTGTAAATGTGACTCTAGTCACTAAGAAAATGTCAATAACTATAAATGATGCTAAGAAAGATAGCAATCCATATTTTACTAATATTTCCGTGAAGAATAACAGAATTTTATGTGTTTAAACTAATAATTTAAAATTATATGAACTAAATATTTATCTTTTTAGGACGATTCTTTTCCAGTGGTTTCAAAATAACCAAGATTTTATAGTAGACACTCCAGCAACAAAATAATCAAAATGAATTAGACTCCCACCTTGGCAATTTTAGCTATACTAATTGCTTCCAGAAGCAAGTACATTTCCAGGTGGAGACAATTATCCTTCATGAACTCACAGGATTAAATTCAGCCATCTTTTTGTGCATGAAATGAATGTAAAGCATTTTACACAGTGTTAGTAATAAATAACCTTCATTTCCCAAAGAATATGCTTTTGAAGCTCTCTTATAGCTTAAAACTGAAATCTACATTTAAAGAATACAGAAAAAAGCAAAAATATTTGGACCTTTTACAACATAATATCTATGAGCAATAAAGTAGTTGTAAAATCCCCAGAAGTTGAACTTGAAATAATTGTCATTAAGATGTGTACAAAAATGTTCCCACACTATTTCTGAGATTTGTATAATAGTGTAGGTATCAGGGCAGCCAGGATATCTGGCTAATAAGTTTAATCATGCCAACAAAAAATGTGAGATTCATTCTGTGCCTGTTTTCGGACAGCCGGGGAGAAGTAAGAGAGAAAGAGAAAGATTTTAAGTTTCTGAAATTGAAAAAAAACATTAAAGAAAAATGTAAAAAGAGAGAGAGAAATAGGGTTTTGACTCCATGATCTGTGCAAACTGAAGCACTTAACTACCAGAAGGCCATGGATAAATAATGATATGCTGAATTACAGGCTTCTCAAAACAAATAAGGTACATCTAAAATATGAAATGATAGATAATAGAGTGTATTTGGAGAGGCAGCATGTTACCAGTCTGTCTGGTTTCAAATCCCAATTCTACCACCCTGTGACCTTCAACAGGGTACTGTGACATCTCTAAACCTCAGAACTTTTAATTTATAATATTACACTAATTATCACACTTAATTAATAGAGCTGTTGTAAAGATTAAGTGAGATATTATAAGGAAAGCCCTTAAATTATCACAAGAACAGATAATTTTGTACCCATGCAATAATTATGGCATCTCTGTGAGCCAAGAAGCTGCATGTACTTAGATGGGTTATTTCAAATTCTAACTGAAACAAACAAACAACAACAAAAAAACCTATGTACTCAGATATTATGTATCTTTAAAACTTATTCCTTATTATATTATTTAGGAGATAGAGTGCCAAAGAATTTTTTTTCACTTGGTTTTTTTGTGGGGGGTGGGGTTTGAGACGGAGTCTTGCTCTGTTGCCCAGACTACAGTGCAGTGGCCTGATCTTGGCTCACTGAAACCTCTGCCCCTTGAGTTCAAGTGGTTCTCCTGTCTCAGCCTCCCAAATAGCTGGGATTACAGGCAGACACCACCACACCCAGTTAATTTTTGCATTTTATTTTATTTTATTTTATTTTATTTTATTTTATTTTATTTTATTTTATTTTTTAGTAGAGACAGGGTTTCACCATGTTGGCCAGGCTGGCCTTGAACTCCTGACCTCAAGTGATCCACCCGCCTTGGCCTCCCAAGGTGCTGGGATTACAGGTGTGAGCCACCGTGCCTGGCTTGCTTGTTTTTTCAACTCTTGTTTCTTAAAGTCGTTTAGGCATTGGGAATGCAATGGAAAGTTGTATTCTCTGTCCTCTAAGGACTAAGGAATATAAAAAGACAGACAACTCCAGCTAAGCATGGTGTCATATGATTAGGGAAATTCTCTGAGAACACATTCCCTGAGAATACCTTCTCTGGAACAGCTAACTTAGGCTCACAGTAGATCAAGGAAGGTGTTCCTGAAGGAAGTCATGTTGGAGCTGTTTCTCAGAGGATGAGGAGAGACAGCTGGTGAAGGGACGGAGGTGGCAAGTTCCTGAGCATGCAGACTGGGCTGCAGGAGAGAGCAAGTGTGCCTCATGAAAGGAAAGTCATCTTTGAGAATGGTTGCAACAGAGAATGTAATATAAACAAGGGTGAGAGAAGAAGCTGAGAAATGAGCAGAAGCCTTGGTGAGCCCAAGGAAGAGACTTCACTTTAATTACTGATGATTAGGAATTCTCAGTGGATTTTAATCAAAGAGTGACATGACTGGGCCTTCTTTTTTGAGGGATTATGCTCCCTGCAGCAGAGAAAATGGAGACAGGGATACTAGTCAGGAGGATGCTGGAGAGAGAAACCTGCAGGAAGGGCAGAGTGGTTAGATCATAAGGAGTAGAATTGTTGGGATGCAGAGACTGATTTCATGGGATGAGAGTGAGGAAGATGAAGGAACAGGCAACTCCTCGGTTTCCGCTTTGGGAGATGCGGTAGAGAGTGATGCCATTCATTGGGCTGATGACACTAGAGGGAGAGGAGCTGGGGAAGAGGGAGGTGAAAGTTGGTAGGTTAGTTATTTTCTTTGAGCCTGAAACACTTGCAAGAAATCCAAGTAGACATGCTTACAAGGCAGATAACTATAAGGGCCTTGAAAAGGATATTTTTACTGAGCCCAAACACATGCATTTTATGTGCCCACTACAGGACCCGGAGCTTGGAAGGTACAGACAGCAAGCAAGCAAGGCCCAGAAGAAGGACCAGGGCAACTGCTCTTCAGGAAACTGGTCAGATCATCAGAAAATGGCCTGATGGTGAAACTGTGGCTCTATTACTTTGACTTGGGGCGCAGCATGCAGACATATCTGCAGCATGAAGCTCCTCCAGAACCAGACAACCTGAATCTACAAGGCAAGGACTTGTTCAAACCAACAAATCAATCTTCCATGTGAAGCTCTGGGGCTTTGCCTTTGTAAGCCCCTCCCTTGCCTTGGCCAGACAGTCTTCACCAGAGCTGCTCCTTTTTGTATATTATGAATAAATTCCCATGTTTTAAGTCAATTATCTCTGTAGTTTAACTCTATAGCAGATCTTTGCAGCTTGACGCTCATTATGCCTGAGTCCTTTTTTTAAAAAAATTTGTCTAGAGCTCAAAAAAAAAAAAAAGAGGTCTGAACTACAAATAATAGATTCAAGAGTCCTGTGGGCTGCTGCATAGGAAATAAAACAGAAAAATGACATGGGTTGTGTCACCTTTAGAGAGTAATGATGCACACAACCATATGAATAGTTCTGAGAAATTCCACTCAAGAAAAAACTCATTCAACTTTATTGAACACATCATCTCTAAATCACTTGGCCCCGAAAGGTTTTTTCCCCTAAGTAACCTCATTAAATCCCATAGAACTAGAGTTTTGAGGCCAGGCACGGCGGCTCAAGCCTGTAATCCCAGCACTTTGGGAGGCTGAGGCAGGTGGATCACCTGAGGTCAAGAGTTTAAGACCAGCCTGGCCAATATCGGGAAACCCTGTCTCTACTAAAAATACAAATTAGCTGGGCATGGTGGTGGGTGCCTGTAATCCCAGTGACTCAGGAGGCTGAGGCAGAGAGAATTGCTTAAAACCCAGGAGGCGGAGGTTGCAGTGAGCTGAGATTACGCCACTGCACTCCAGCCTCGGCGATAGAGCGAGACTCCATCTCAAAAAAAAAGAACTAGAGTTTTGTAGAGCATGCTTTGATAAATGATAGCTTAGGCATTTTGCAAGAAGTAAGTTTATTGATACTCATATTTGTATAAATATTTATATTTTATAACAAAAATAATATCAACCAGATTATATGATTTTTCTGTTATTTCTTCATTGAAGTAGTTTCACTACTAAATGCTTTGTAAAGCAAAGTACCACTTTCCAGATCACCAGAGGAGCTGCAATTTAGGCATAATATCCATGAGGAACTAACCAGCCTCTAGAGAAGTATGTCTTTACATCTGAAGGATGGGCTGGGCACAGTGGCTCATGCCTGTAATCCCAGCACTTTGGGAGGCTGAGGCAGGCAGATCGCTTGAGCTCAGGAGTTTGAGACCAGCCTGGGTAATATGGTGAAACCCCACCTCTACCAAAAACACAACAAAATTAGCCAGGTGTGATGATGCACACCTGTAATCCCAGCTACTTGGGAGGCTGAGGCAGGAGGATTGCTTGATGTCAGGAAATGGAGGTTGCAGTGAGCCGAGATCGCACATTGCACTCCAGCCTGGGCAACAGAGCCAGACTTCATCCACCCCCCCAAAAAAAAATCCGAAGGATGTCAAACACATTGAAAACCCAATAAAATTTATATACCATCTCCCTAGGTGGAACAGTGCATATTTTCATCTAACCCATAAAATCAAGAGATCCACAGGCCCTACATCACAGGTAAAGAGCTCCTGCTTTCTAAGACACTAAAACAATTTAAACCTAATCAATAATGGGCAAAGTAGCAGTGCCCCTGAAATCAAAAGTCCTTTGCCTGTGGAGTATGTGTGAAGTGCATCCTTTGGTCAGTAACTGGAGCCAATCTCCAATGCCAACTGTCTTCCAGGTTCCAGATTTGTCTGTGGCTCTGCAGCTGGCAGAGGCTTTCCAGCCAATTCTATTACTTGCCACATTGTTTGGGGCTGCACTTTAGTGAATCATTGTAGATTTTCTTCCGAAATTCATGCTTTCAGTTATCCTATTTGAACTTCCTGTCACAGAAGCTGAGTAGTGAGGGGCTCTGAAGAGACAATACATTTATGGTAGGAAGAATACTAAACTGAGAGATTGATGATAGGAAATTTTCCCCCACATTCATCATTAACTAGCTATGTGATCATGGAAAAGGTGCTCTATTTCTTCAGGTTTCTCAATGATGAATTAAGTACAATTATTCCTACCCTTCCTGTCTCACAACATTGCTGTGACAAACCGATAAACTAAAGCCCATGAAAACACTTTGAAAATTCTGAGGTTACATATAAATGTAAGAGAGGGTTATGATGATGGCAGACATATCTCTAATTATTATGAATGGGACTCAGTAAATACTTATTCATAATGGCCCTTGGTTATGATTTTGTTGTGAGTCATCACCACTCAGACAATGAGTTGTATGTGAAGACAGCTTGAGTTGAAATTTCCCATGGAAGGTATGTGGCAGTGTATCAGATTCACTACCTTTATATGTAGACTATCTACACTACCATTATGGGTTCACCCATCTACTTTATAGCATTACCACTAGGTTGTTGCTATTTAATGTGGTGCTAGAACCCAGAGTTGAACTGTTTCCCACAACTTTTGCTTTGTGAATTCAAGTGAGATTGTGCCACGGCACTCCAGCCTGGGTGACAGAGCAAGACTCCATCTTAAAAAAAAAAAAAAGAAAGTAGAAGATATAAACAATTCTATCTCTGTTTCTGCACTTCAGAGGGCTATTTAAGGCTAACATTAAATATATTTTAAAACCTTCTTGAAATAAAACTTTTACATAAAGGTGAGATGTTAGTGTCACATCATTTATGAGGTACATTGAGCAGCCTAACGATTATAACAAATTTTTAAAAACCTGACAACTTTTTTTCTGTAGGCCCCTTGTGGTATTTCATAAAAACCTAACAACTTTTTTTTTTTAATTTTAATTTGAGACAGAGTCTCAATCTGTCACCCAGTCTGGAGTGCAGTGGAACGATCTTGGCTCACTGTGGCCTCTGCCTCCTGGGTTCAAGTGATCCTCCTGCCTCAGCCTCCCGAATAGCTGGGACTACAGACATGCGCCACCATGCCCGGCTAATTTTTGTATTTTTAGTAGAGACAGGGTTTTGCCATGTTGGCCAGACTGGTCTCGAACTCCTGACCTCAAGGGATCTATCTACCTCGGCCTCCCAAAGTGCTGGGATTACAGGCCTGACAACTTTTTAAAAACAATTACATGCTAAAGAATTCAGAGAAGACTACATTTAGAAGTGGAAATTTGGGACTGTGACTAGATTCAGTCAATCACTCATTCTTTTTACTAACATTTACCATCTAAAATTAATTTATTTATAAATATCTACTGTATATATGGTGGCTAAAAAAACAAACAAAATAGACATGGTTTCTACCTGTATGGCACTTACAATCAAATGGGAGAGAGAATCCAAAAAGAAAGCAAATGAGTATGTAGTTACACCTCGTGATGAGCTCAATGAAAGGTGTACTGTGAAAAAAGTAAGAGGTGAAGGGGCCTATTTTGATTGGCTTATCACAGAAGACCTATCTGAGCACATGACATTTAAGCTCAGAACTGAAGAGAAGTCTAAGCCAAGGAAGAGAGACTGCAAAACCCTAAAGGAATGAAGGAGATTAGCATGTTTGAGGAGTTATAGCAAGACTTGCACTAAATTTTAGTGAGGGCAGAGATCACTAGAGCAGGTTGGTCAAATATTGATGAGACTGGTAAAATGCTGAACTTCAACCTAAGTGCAAAGAAAAGCTTTTGAAGGATTTTATGTAGGGGAGTGAATGGATCAGATTCAGAAAACAGAAGGATCAGTTGAGTGGCTACTATAGTAGGCCAAACAAAACGTACCTGTCTGCTTAGACTATGGCAGTGGCAATAGAGAAGAGAAGTGGACATTTGAAATGTATTTAGAAGGTAGAATGGAATGGATTCGGTGTTGGATTAGAAACTGGGGGTGAGACAGTGGGAAAAATTGAAGATGGCCCTGTAAGATCCCAGAATATGCCACTCCAAAATGGGAAGGATTGTTGAGCTTCAAACAATTAAAAAGAAAGAGATGCAGAAAAGCTCTATTTGCCTAAACGCAAGACATAGATTTACAAAGACAATAGGTACCCCCTCTCTACCAAGAATAACAAAAGTTAACCACTGAAGACAACTTTAGATCCTTACGGCCTGGCAATGGCTGCAGAGGTACCTACATTAACAAACTTTATTAACTAGCATTTATCTGCCATTTATTTGCCTTCCCCCAAGTTGCTACTCATAGAAACTCAAAGTCCTTTTCCTCTGTCTTGTCACTTCTCTAAAAATTTACTGTTCTTTATTAAAGATACTATATAAACTGGCATTTAAAGCCACCTCTTTGAGAGCTATTCATTCCCCGGATTTCTCCCATGTATATATAAAATGTACATGTTAATCCATTTCTATTTGTTTTTCTTTCTTTCTTTCTTTCGTTTTTGTAGAGACCGAGCCTTGTTATGTTGTCCAGGCTGGTCTCAAACTCCTGGCCTCAAGCAATCCTCCCACCTCAGCCTTCCAAAATGTGGAGATTACAAGTGTGAGCCACCATGCCTGGCCTTCTATTTGTTTTTTTCTTGTTAATCTGTCTTTTCTTACAGGGGTCTATTATGACTAAGAATATATGAGGGTTGAAGAAAAAAATTTTTTTTCCCCTACAACGCCTCATTGTCTGGCTCAAGCAGGTGAATGGGTGGGAACTATGTGTCAGGCCCTGCGCAAGGTCAACGATGACTCACCAGGCTCCCAAGTGTCATCTTCTGCCTTGGGTTGTGCAAGTGGATGCACTACTTTCAGTTCACCAAGTGGTACAAATGATGAATGGAGGTTAATTCTAACCATGTCCTTTCCAGTGTGTTTGTTGGCTATCCAAATTGTCTTCATTTTCCATGTTGAATAGAAGATACGGTCACCAAAAAGGGACATTGCAAACAAATTATGCCTAAAAAGCAACCACAAAAGAAAAAAGAACAACAGAACATTTGTTCCTTGTCTTATTAGAATTTCACTTCATTTCAATTTATTGTCTAAGTTTTAACCACCTACGTTTTCAATTGTTTCTCATTTATGTTTAGAAAAGTATATTAAGTTTAAAATTTTATTTATCTCCTCATACTCTGAGCTAATAAGATATAATTTCTAGCTCCAGATCCATTGTCTCATTCTTCTTTTAGTCATCCAATAAGTGTGATGAAAATGGGGAAGAAAATAGGAACAGAGTAAGAGTGGGTTTCTAGTGACATCAATTTCACATGACGAATTTCTGCTTCTTGCCACAAAGCTGGAAAGTCAGTTGCTGGCATGATAGCAAATCAATGAAAGATAAAAATATGTAACATCATAATTCCAAAAAGAATAATTATGGTCAACATGTGAGAACTTATTATGTGCCAAATACTCTGTTAATTATTTTTGTTTGTATTCATTTACTTTCCCTTCACAATAATCCCAAGAGACTGATATTATGATTATCCTCACGTTAAAGGAAACTGAGGATAAGAGAAGTTATAGAACCTACTCAAAGTCACTCATCTAACAGACGGTAAATCTGGAGCTTGAACTCAAGTCTTTTTCTTGAGACGGAGTCTCGCTCTGTCGCCCAGGCTGGAGTGCAGTGGCACGATATCGGCTCACTGCAAGCTCCGCCTCCCGGGTTCTCGCCATTCTCCTGCCTCAGCCTCCCGAATAGCTGGGACTACAGGTGCTCGCCACCACGCCCGGCTAATTTTTTGTATTTTTAGTAGAGACGGGGTTTCACCGTGTTAGCCAGGATGGTCTCGATCTCCTGACCTCGTGATCCGCCGCGCCCGGCCAAACTCAAGTCTTTTGGATTCAAAATCTATGGCCTAAACCACTATACCAGTTCCATTGACAAAAGTAAAATTAATTTATCTTGTGGACTTCAAATGACAATTGTTTTATTTTATACCAAGAGTAAAACTTACTGTGTTGGATGTTTACTAATGTGGACAGAACCTCCATCATAATCACAGGAGCAAATAAGAGAATTGCTTCCTTCTCTGTTGTACTGAATCCAAAACAGCCGCTTATCAAGCACATCCAATGACACAGCTGTTATTTTCTCTGATGTCTCCAACAGAGCCTTCACTCCCACACCATCGAGATCTGCTCTATAAAGGCTTCCAGCCACCTCTGAAGACCAAAATATAAACCTGAGGGCAAACACATTACATAGACCCAAAAATGAATGTATAGTGCCTTAAATGGCCAACTCTCTCAATGTTTCAGCAGCTCCTTCACAGGGCAAGTTTGACTATTTTGAATGAAAATTTATTCAACAAGTAAACACTGCCCTATTGTAGACATTACAAGTGATTTCAAGTTAGAAAGGGAATTATGCCTCTATAGCAGAAAACCATGATAGTTAGGAATATTTATGGGGGGATCCTGTCTCAGTTGAAATGCAGGCAACTGTCCTATAGAAAACGGTGCCTGTGTGCTGCAAAAGAGGGCTTTGGTCTCAGTGAGAGGATCCCTTTGAATTTACAATGTTATAATTCTATCAATCTTCACTAGATTTGTAAATATATTTCAATGTCTGAATACAGCAGAATTTACCTTTCTACTGGATCAACTGCTACATTTGCAGGATATTTTAAAGCACTTAAAAGAATGTGGGAATTATTTCCTTTCATATCTGTTACTGTAATGATTCCTTCCTGTTGATTTGACCAAATAACTTCTTCATTTATCCAATTTATTGCCATTCCAGAAACATTTTTCTCTATATTACATACTCTCTGCAAAATCAAATTTTAAAATTGTTATTAATACTTCCCCCATTCACAACAAAATTATTTTAATTGTTATATATAAAAAGTCTATTCTTTTAAGTATTTGTCATCTTTATGCAGTTCCAAAATTGTTTAAATAATAAAATAGTCACAGATACGGTGCCTTTGTTTTGATGCAGCATTTACCTCCTCTGACCCTTAAGTAAATATTTCTGGAAATAGTATTTATAGCTTTGAAACTAAAAATTATCCTACACACTATTTAAATTAGGAAGCCAACCATAATGTATTGATCATTTCAACTATAGTAATGGTGAAATTTTGATGCAACCATACAGACAGCTTATTCAGTTCCATTTGCTAATGGAAATTTCCAGATCTTCAACTGAACTCAATTCCAAGCTATGCAAGATTTCCTTGGAGTCTGAGCTTACAGACATGAACTCGATGAATTTCTCATTGTGGCCTTTATTCTTCTGGCCCTCCTCCTCCAATAGGCCCCTTCCTTTCTATAGTCCTTCATGCCGTCACACTGTGACCAGAGTAGCAGAGTGTCTTTTTAGGCACCTTTGGCTGTATTCCCAACTCTTTCATGATAAAAATGCCCAACCAGAACTTTTCATATCTTAATTTCAGCCACGGGCAGGTAAGCTGGTCTTCTTGGGGAATGGAGGTTGCAAGGTGGGCAGAAGCCCCAATTTGTACTGTTAAAGATTTTCATGGTGTAAATATTCAACCATGGCAGACGTCCAGCTACCCAGGTGACATCACTGAAATCAGAGTTGGGCTGAAATTGCATAATCTCATAAGCCTGTGCTATTTCTACATTTCATACAAAGAAATCTAGCCAACTTATTTTACCATTGAAAATAATGGCCAAAACTGCAATTACCTTTGCACCAACCCAATCCATTCATAAATTAGCTCACCCAGGTAAATTGTTTGAATTTTAACAGTTGTCCTTTATAAACAAGGTTTTAACCCAAAGGAAGGAATATAAGGATGGAATTTTAGGCAACAGGCTGATCCTTTCCTAATGGCTTGATATAAATTCACAACTATTTTAAGTTTTTCCATGTTCTTGATAGGAAACCCTTCAGATTCTTAGACTCAAGAGTTTGAAACTATACTACCAGATGTCTGGAGGATAATGAGTAGCCATCCTTGTTAAAAGTGAGATTAGCAAGTATTGGAGATGTGATAAAACAGATTAGCACCTAATTGAAGCTTTTAAGAATAACTGGAAAGAGAAATATTTGGCTAAAAAACAAAAAATAGTGTGGACTTTGCATTGAGAATCAACTCTTAAAGTTTCTCTAGTCATGTGCTCTTTGTAATCCATCACCAAATTGAGAGAAACATTCCTCCTGGGACTCATGTAAGGGTTCTACCAGCTAAAAAGAAAGATTAAGGATCTTTTGTATGTACATGAAGTAAAGTACTTATCTGTCATCTGCTATATTATTTTTTTTGCGGAGTGCAAGCTCTGTGAGAATAAAAAGAAGAAAATTTTTCTTTCTACGTGTCAGGTGCCAAAACCCATGACGGAGATTTTATACAGATAAAACAGGGTCTCTCAACTTCAGCACTATTGACATTTGGGGCTGGACAATTCTTTATTCTGGGGCTGTTCTGCACAGTGTAAGATGTTTTGCAGCATCCCAGGCCTCTACCCACTAGATGCCTGTATCGTCTCCACCTTCCTACCTCACCTACTTGTGACAACCAAAAATGTTTCCAGACACTGCCAATTGTTCCCTCAGGGAAAAATTGCCCCCCACCTGAGAGCTACTGGGGTACCTTACAAATAGCAAGAAATAATCATGCAAATAATCTATCTTAATCATAAAATGGTGATCTGACTTAATAAACTCAGATATTTTCAAAATTACATTCATATCCTCACTTTCTCATTTTGGGGCTTCTAAATATCAATGTGTGAATTTATTCAAGAATATACACCACAGATGTAGATTAAATAAATGCCTATATTTGGCAGACACGCATTTGAACTGTTATATAATTTTCATTTATCTATACATTAAGAATTCAGTATATTATATTTGTCAGCCTGTACAAAAACAGCTCAAACACTGTAGGTAAGGGTATTTTACCTCTTGCCTTGACCCATTCAGAAAAACTCTTTGCAAAAGTTGTCTTTCTAAATCCACCCAATAGATTCTTTTCTCATTATAATGAAAATCCATGATCACTGAGACACCAGCATCCACCACCAATTGCTCATAATTGGTTCCTTCTGTGTCAATCCTAAAGATACTATTTCCATGGGAGAAAATTAAGAAGGGTGCAGGACCTGGGTGGGAAGAAAGAGACCAAACTGTATACTTTTAATATTTTATCTCATTTAAACAAAATACTTCCCAATGACAACCAACACAAGCAGAAATAATTTTTAATTACTGGTTTTCTGTTTAAAATAAAGTCTATTTATAGACAATAAAGAGTTCCTGTAGATATTCACACTCCACTTTGTAAATTGTCTTCTCCACAAACTGATTATAAGACATGAACATTGGTAAATTATGAAAAATGAACTCTCTGAAGAGAAAGACACTTTTTACTCTTTATCCATAAAATACCTTTTTATGTTCAAAAAGGAACCACCCATCATATTCTATTGTGGAAAGGATTTATATAAGTGTAAATTTTAATTATGTAAATTAGAACTAAAATTACAGATATTATCATTTTGGAAATGGACTCCTTGGGTCTTACCTATGACCAGAGCCTTCAGCATAATGACCTAGAAGACGACGGTGAAAACTAAAAGGTCTTAGACGGAAGCAGGAAAAATTGAAATGCTGTTTCAATTTCAGAATCCTGTAAAGGTTCTGAAATATTTTGACCCTGTTATCTTTACCACATAAATACAGGATGCCCAAATAAATTTGAATTCCACATATATTGCATGGGACATACACTAAAAATTTGTTCTCTATTTACCTGAAATTCAAATTTGACTGGGCACTTTGCATTTTTATTTGCTAAATCTGGGTGGCAAACCTCACTAGATTTCTTGGTGCCTGTAGGGCCTTGCTTGGTACCCTAATCCTGTACCTGGGGTCCTCTCCTGTTCTAGGTGATGGCCACCTACCAACTCTGATGCCCCAATATTCAATATCTACTTGGGAACCTGATCCCTTCTTGGGAAACCTCACCACTAATTACTGACAGACTCCACACACAGCTTGCCTGTGATGCTCTGAGATGACACCAGAGGATGAAATTAGTTACATCAAGTCAAGTTAGTTTTCTTGGTCTCTCTCTCTTGACCAAGTGTGAGGAGGCTTGGGCCACTCTGCCTTTAGAAAATGACAGAATCACTGGGGTAAGTGGGGAATGGAGGGGAATTCTAACATATTCTTGCTTCTGTGCTGGGCTTACTCCATTCTGTTTTATCATCAAAAGTAATACTTTAATATGACTTAATAAATGTGTTTATTGTAAGCATTGAACAAAATGATGGGTTAACATCCTTTTACTCAGGGACTATGTTCTAGAGTCAGAAAACACTAACTCCACTTTGGAGAGTACGTTGAATTAAAGCTACAAGAGGGTTGGCGCTTCCAAGATGGCCGAATAGGAACAACTCAGGTCTACAGCTCCCAGCAAGATTGACACAGAAGATGGGTGATTTCTGCATTTCCAACTGAGGTACCTGGTTCATCCCACTGGGACTGGTTGGACAGTGGGTGCAGCCCACGGAGGGCCAGCCGAAGCAGGGTGGGGTGTTGCCTCATGTGGGAAGTGCAAGGGGTCAGGGGATTTCCCTTTCCTAGCCAAGGGAAGTTGTGAGTGCCTGTAACTGGAGGAACTGTACACTTTTGTCCAAATACTGCGCTTTTCCCACGGTCTTTGCAACCAGCAGGCCCGGATGTTCCCTCCCCTGCCTGGCTCAGCTGGTCCCATACCCATGGAGCCTTGCTCACTGCTAGCGCAGCAGTCTGAGATCGATCTGGGATGCTAAAGCTTGGTGGAGGGAGGGATGCCACCATTGCTGAGGCTTGAGTAGGTAGTGCTATGCTCACAGTGTAAACAAAGAGGCAGGGAAGCTCGAACTGGGCAGAGCCCAACGCAGCTCAACAAGGCCTACTGCCCCTTTAGATTCCACCTCTGGAGGCAGGGCATATCTGAACAAAAGGCAGCAGACAGCTTCTACAGACTTAAACATCCCTGCCTGACAACTCTGAAGAGAGCAGTGGTTCTCCCAGCACAGCGTTTGAGATCCATTAACAGACACACTGCCTCCTCAAGTGGGTCCCTGAGCCTGTGTAGCCTCACTGGGAGACACCTCCTAGTAGGGGCCAACAGACACCTCATACAGGCAAGTGCCCCTCTGGGACAAAGCTTCCAGAGGAAGAATCAGGCAGCAATATTTGCTCTTCTGTAGCCTCCACTGGTGATACCCAGGCAAACAAGGTCTAAAGTGGACCTCCAGCAAACTCCAACAGATCTGCAGCTGAGTGGCCTGTCTGTTAGAAGGAAAACTAACAAACAGAAATGAATAGCATCAACATCAACAGAAAAGACATCCACATCAAAACCCCATCCGTAGGTCACCAGCATCAAAGACCAAAGGTAGATAAAACCGCTAAGATGGGAAGAAACCAGAGCAAAAAGGCTGAAAATTCCAAAAACCAGATTGCCTCTTCTTTTCCAAAGGAACACAATTCCTTGCCAGCAAGGGAACAAAACTGGACAAAGAATGAGTTTGACAAGGTGACAGAAGTAGGCTTCAGAAGATCAGTAATAACAAACTTCTCCGAGCTAAAGGAGCATGTTCTAACCCATCGCAAGGAAGCTAAAAACCTTGAAAAAAGGTGAGACAAATGGATAACTAGAATCAACAGTGTAGAGAAGAGCTTAAATGACCTGATGTAGCTGAAAACCACAGCACAGGAACTTCGTGACACATGCACAAGCTTCAATAGTCAATTCAATCGAGCGGAAGAAAGGATGTCAGCAATTGAAGATCAAATTAATGAAATAAAGCAAGAAGACAAGATTAGAGAAAAAAGAGTGAAAAGAAACAAACAAAGCCTCAAAGAAATATGGAACTATGTGAAAAGACCAAATCTACATTTGATTGGTGTACCTGAAAGTGACGGGGAGAATGGAACCAAGTTAGAAAACACTCTTCGGCATATTATCCAGGAGAATATCTCCAACCTAGCAAGGCAGGCCAACATTCAAATTCAGGAAATACAGAGAACACCCCCAAAGATACTCCTCGAGAAGAGCAACCCCAAGACACATAATTTTCAGATTCACCAAGGTTGAAATGAAGGAAAAAATGTTAAGGGCAGCCAGAGAGAAAGGTCGAGTTACCCACAAAGGGAAGCCCATCAGACTAACAGCAGATCTCTCTGCAGAAATCCTACAGCCAGAAGAGAGTGGGGGCCAATATTCAACATTCTTAAAGAAAAGAATTTTCAACCCAAAATTTCATATCCAGACAAACTAAGCTTCATAAGTGAAGGAGAAATAAAATCCTTTAAAGACAAGCAAATGCTGAGAGATTTTGTCACCACCAGGCCTGCCTTACAAGAGCTCCCGAAAGAAGCACTAAATATGGAAAGGAAGAACCGGTACCAGCCACTGCAAAAACATGTCAAATGGTAAAGACCATGGACGCTATGAAGAAACCAGCTAGCACCATAATGACAGGATCAAATTCACATATAACAATATTAACCTTAAATGTAAATGGGCTAAATGCCCCAATTAAAAGACACAGACTGGCAAATTGGATAAAGAGTCAAGACCATCAGTGTGCTGGTTTCAGGAGGCCCATCTCATGTGCAAAGACTCACATAGGCTCAAAATAAAGGGATGGAGGAAGATCTACCAAGCTAATGGAAAGCAAAAAAAAAAAAAAAGCAGGGATTGCAATCCTGGTCTTTGATAAACAGACTTTAGAGAAACAAAGATCAAAAGAGACAAAGAAGACCATTACATAATGGTAAAGGGATCAATGCAGCAAGAAGAACTAAGTAGCCTAATTATATGTACACCCAATACAGGAGCACCCAGATTCATAAAGCAAGTTCTTAGAGACCTACAAAGAGACTTAGACTCCCACACAATAAAAGTGGGAGACAATAACACCCCACTGTCAATATTAGACCAACGAGAAAGAAAATTAACAAGGATATTCAAGACTTGAACTCAGCTCTGGACCAAGCAGACCTAATAGACATCTACAGAACTCTCCACCCCAAATCAACAGAATACACATTCTTCTCAGCATCACATCACACTTATTCTAAAATTGAACACGTAATTGGAAGTAAAACACTCCTCAGCAAATGCAAAAGAACAGAAATTGTAACAGTCTCTCAGACCACAGTCCAATCAAATTGGAACTCAGGATTAAGAAACTCACTCAAAACCCCACAACTACATGGAAACTGAGCAACCTTCTCCTGAATGACTACTGGGTAAATAACGAAATTAAGGGAGAAATAAATAAGTTATTGGAAACCAATGAGAACAAAGACACAATGTACCAGAATCTCTGAGACACAGCTAAAGCAGTGTTTATACGGAAATGTATACACTAAATGCCCACAGGAGAAAGCAAGAAATATCCAAAATCGACACCTTAACATAACAATTAAAAGAACTAGTGAAGCAAGAGCAAACAAATTCAAAAGTTAGAAGACAAGAAATAACTAAGATCAGAGCAGAACTGAAGGAGATAGAGATATGAAAAACTCTTCAAAAAATTAATGAATCCAGGAACTCGTTTTTTTGAAAAGATTAACAAAATAGACTGCTAGCCAGACTAATAAGGAAGAAAAGAGAGAAGAATCAAATAGACACAATAAAAAATAATAAAGGGGATATCACCACCGATCCCACAGAAATACAAACTACCGTTAGAGAATACTATAAACACCTCTATGCAAATAAACTACAAAATCTGGAAGAAAGGGATAAATTCCTGGACACATACCCCCTCCCAAGACTAAACCAGGAAGAAGTTGAATCTCTGAATAGACCAATAACAGGCTCTGAAATTGAGGCAATAATTAATAGCTTACCAACCATAAAAATTCCAGGACCAGACGGATTCACAGTCGAATTCTACCAGAGGTACAAAGAGGAGCTGGTATCATTCCTTCTGAAACTATTCCAATCAATAGAAAAAGAGAGAATCTTCCCTAACTCATTTTATGAGGCCAGCATCATCCTGATATCAAAGCCTGGCAGAGACACAACAAAAAAAAGAGAATTTTAGGCCAATATCCCTGATGAACATTGACATGAAAATCCTCAATAAAACACTGGCAAACCGGATCCAGCAACACATCAAAAAGCTTATCCACCACGACCGAGTTGGCTTCACCCCTGGGATGCAAGACTGGTTCAACATACGCAAATCAATAAACATAATCCATCACATAAACAGAACCAACGACAAAAACCACACGATTATCTCAATAGATGCAGAAAACGCCTTCGATAAAATTCAACACCCTTACATGCTAAAAACTCTTGGTATTGATGGAACGTATCTCAAAATAATAAAAGCTACTTATGACAAACCCACAATCAATATCATACTGAATGGGCGAAAACAGGAAGCATTCCCTTTGAACACTGGTATAAGACAAGGATGCCCTCTCTCACCACTCCTATTCAACATAGTATTGGAAGTTCTGGCCAGGGCAATCAGGCAAGAGGAAGAAATAAAGGGTATTCAATTAGGAAAAAGGGACGTCAAATTGTCTCTGTTTGCAGATGACATGATTGTATACCTAGAAAACCCCATCGTCTCAGCCCAAAATCTCCTTAAGCTGATAGGCAACTTCAGCAAACTCTCAGGATACAAAATCAATGTGCAAAAATCACAAGCATTCCTATATACCAATAACAGACAGCCAAATCATGAGTGAACTCCCATTCACAATTACTACAAAGATAATAAAATACCTAGGAATCCAACTTATAAGGGATGTGAAGAACCTCTTCAAGGAGAACTACAAACCACTGCTCAAGGAAGTAAAAGAGGACACAAACAAATGGAAGAACATTCCATGCTCATGGATAGGAAGAATCAATATCGTGAAAATGGCCATACTGCCAAAGTAATTTATAAATTCAATGCTATCCCCATCAAGCTACCCCTGACTTTCTTCACAGAATTGGAAAAAACTACTTTAAAGTTCATATCTAACCAAAAAAGAGCCCCTATACCCAAGAAAATCCTAAGCAAAAAGAACAAAGCTGGAGGCATCACACTACCTTACTTCAAAATACACTACAAGGCTACAGTAACCAAAACAGCATGGTACCGGTACCAAAACAAATATATAGACCCATGGAACAGAACAGAGGCCTCAGAAATAACACCACACATCTACAACCATCTGATCTTTGACAAGCTTGACAAAAACGAGCAATAGGGAAAGGATTCCCTTTTTAATAAACGGTGCTGGGAAAACTGGCTAGACATATGGAGAAAGCTGAAACTGGATCCCTTCCTTACACCTTACACAAAAATTTACTCAAGATTGATTAAAGACTTAAATGTAAGACCTAAAACCATAAAAACCCTAGAAGAAAACCTAGGCAATACCATTCAGGACATAGGCATGGGCAAAGACTTCATGACTAAAATACCAAAAGCAATGGCAACAAAAGCCAAAATAGACAAATGGGATCTAATTAAACTAAAGAGCTTCTGCACAGCAAAAGAAACTATCATCAGAGTGAACGGGCAACCTACAGAATGGGAGAAAATATTTGCAATCTACCCATCTGACAAAGGACTAATATCTAGAATATACAAAGAACTTAAACAAATTTACAAGAAAAAACCAAACAACCCCATAAAAAAGTGGACGAAGGATATGAACAGACACTTCCTAAGAGACCACATTTATGTATGTGTCAAATTGTCTCTGTTTGCAGATGACATAACTGCATATTTAGAAAACCCCATCGTCTTAGCCCAAAATCTCCTTAAGCTGATAGGCAACTTCAGCAAACTCTCAGGATACAAAATCAATGTGCAAAAATCACAAGCCAACAGACACATGAAAAAATGCTCATCATCACTGGTCATCAGAGAAATGCAAATCAAAACCACAGTGAGATACCATCTTACGCCAGTTAGAATGGCGATCATTAAAAAGTCAGGAAACAACAGATGTTGGAGAGGATGTGGAGAAATAGGAACACTTTTACACTGTTGGTGGGAGTGTAAATTAGTTCAACCATTGTGGAAGACAGTGGGGCAATTCCTCAAGGATCTAGAACTACAAATACCATTTGACCCAGCAATCCCATTACTGGATATATACCCAAAGGATTACAAATCATGCTACTATACAGACATATGCACACATATGTTTATTGTGGCACTATTCACAATAGCAAAGACTTGGAACCAACCCAAATGTCTATCGATAATAGACTGCATAAAGAAAATGTGGCACATATACACCATGGAATACTATGCCGCCATAAAAAAGGATGAGTTCATGTCCTTTGCAGGGACATGGTTGAAGCTGGAAACCATCATTCTCAGCAAACTATCATAAGGACAGAAAACCAAACACCGCATGTTCTCACTCATAAGTGGGTGTTGAACAATGAGAACACATGGACACATGGAAGGGAACATCACACACCGGGGCCTGTTGGGAGGTGGGGGGCTGGTGGAGGGATAGCGTTGGGAGAAATACCTAATGTAAACGACGAGTTGATGGGTGCAGCAAACAAACATGGCACATATATACCTATGTAACAAACCTGCACGTTGTGCACATGTACTGTAGAACTTAAAGTATAAAAAAAAAAAAAAGAAAAAAAAGAAATGCTACAAGAGGCTGGGAGAACTGTAAGATTATGAGAGTTTGAAATAGGTGCCAGCATAAATGTCTAAGAGAATTCACTCAAATTATTATTCCCAGATCTTTGCTACAATACAAGCCCCGCTATGCAGACACATAGCGAGGGCCCATGCTCCACTGCAGTTGTAGAATCACGTAGACATCTTGGGAAAAAGGGAAAGGGCACTAGACAGAAAGCCAGAGGCCTGGTTTCCAGTCCTGACCCCACCAGCTTCGCTTCTCTGGACATCTCACAGGATCTCCCCTGCCTGTATCAGAGGATTATTATGGGAAAAAAATGAAATTATAGATGTGAAAGTATTTTATTAATTGTGGAGGACTACATGTATATCGTTTGCCATTGCTTTTTGCCAGAAACAAGTTTTCACTACATAGGTTGTGCAACTGCTTGGATTTGAACCCAGGGACTGGAACATTGGTATAACTTGTCTCTAATAACTTGTCTCTAATACAGCAATTCATCATGGAGAAAAAGAAGACACTAGGAAGAGACACCTTAAACTCATAGCTACTAATTCGTGGGGCAAAGATTACCATGGACATCTAGATTTATTTCTAAGAGTTCTCTGCTATGTGTATCATGCATGCTCTATAGTCTATGCTGAATAAATGTATCCAATATATATTGTTAATTTCCTAATGCATTGACATATTGGTGAGATCAATAAAATATTTTATTTATTAAAAAATATTGGGCCAGGCGCGGTGGCTCATGCCTGTAATCCCAGCACTTTGGGAGGCCGAGGCAGGCAGGCGGATCATGAGGTCAGGAGATCGAGACCTTCCTGGCTAACACGGTGAAACCCCGTCTCTACTAAAAATACAAAAAATTAGCCAGGCATGGTGGCGAGCGCCTGTAGTCCCAGATACTCGGGAGGCTGAGGCAGGAGAATGGTGTGAACCCGGGTGGTGGAGCTTGCAGTGAGCCAAGATCATGCCACTACACTCCAGCCTGGGCAACAGAGCGAGACTCCGTCTCAAAAAAAAAAAAAAAAATTTATATATATATATATATGACTAAATGGGAGGTTTTCATGTAAAAAAAAAAAAAGAGAAAGAAAAGGCTCTTTAAACATTTTAATATTCCTTACCACATAATGCAGTACAATCCTCTGTACATAATAGGCACTCAAAAATTTTGAATAAATCAATAAACTAATGAAGAAATAATTGTGTTCTGTTTATTTGCGCTTTTACTAATAGAACAAAGCCATAGAAACAGATATATCAAATTAATAAAAGATGGGTCTAGTCAATGGTAGTTATCTTACTAACAGCAATAATAATAACAAATTTTTACATCCTGACCTCATTTATCCTCAACATAACACCATGAACCAATAAACCAATAAGTCAAAGGGAAAAGAGAAATCTCAAGAATTTGTAAATTCATAAAGCACAAATTATAGCACTAACTTCTGTAACTTTTCAAAAAAATAGAGTAGTTATAAAACTACAAAATCAAAGTATAAATAATTAATACATTTTATCTTCAGATTTTGCCCATCTAAGGGCTAATCATAGCATACAGATCCTAGCAACTAGGAAGACTCTTGACATTTTCAAATTGTTTCCCAAAATTGTTTGTTTAAAATAATCACCCAGGGTGCCTCTCTGTGAGTGAATGTTCCTATTTTTTGCAGATCCCTACTCTACTCTTGAGATTCCAGTTAATCCAGCAGGGCTGGGCTGAGGGCTATGCTTTTTTCTTTTTTCTTTTTTTTGACCAGGCACTCCAGGTGATTCTCAGGTCTTGGTGAACCAGGAAAACATGGATCTAATTAAGAGGAAATTCAATGATGTTTCCCAAAGTCCCACCACTAGTAGGTGGTAGACTTGGAATTAGAATCCAGGTACTGCAATCGCAATCTAGTGCACTCGCAATCTAGTACACTTCCAACTCCACCCTGCCTTGGTCTGGGTTGTCACATGTCAAGATATTACAATCTTCATTTTCTTTGCGTAGCCAATTGTAATTCCATTCCCTCAAAGCACCGTTTATTTTTCCTACACTGTCAACATCATTTTATGTAAACCAGAGCCCAGGCTATATTTGTAAGAATGTAATAAAATATAATTTTAAAGAAAATGAAACACTTTGAGAATTAGGCTTTGTGAATAATAATTACAGATGTGAAAGTATTTTATTAATTATGGAGGACTACATGTATATCATTTGCCATTATTCTGTTCTACCAATGGAAATGATAAATATGGTAATGTTTTTTCAGACCTGTCAAGAACTCTGTAAACACTGATGTGTGGTACAGTCTGTGGATTTGAATGTCAGCAAGGTGTGCATGTTTGAACAGCTAAAGCTTTCCCATGTCAAAACCTACAACATTTGTTTTGGGTGCAGTTCAGTAAGGGGGGAAGTACATACAAAATGAAACATCATTTCTAGGGAACACAAACCTTAAGGCAGCAAACAGCAAATCAATTAGAACCTCTGACTTCTCAACCTAGGGATTAGTAGGGGATCTTCAGGAATTAGAAAGGAGTTCAGAATGTTTGGAGCACATTGAAGATGTTCATCAGTGACTACAAAGAACTATGACTACATAACACAGAGGTCAGTGATGAAAAGCAAGCTTTGCTTGAAGTAGGAAGCAGAAACAGAACATTTTATAACACACACCCCTTCATCCTCTGTGAGTCTGAGGGAGTGCCCCACACAGGTAAGTGAGAAGAGACATTACCTGTCTTCTGCAGGCCTTGGGGGCAAACACTCATGAGAGCTAGTTAACACATAAATGATAACCACAACCAGATTAACAAGAAATCCTAGCTGTCTATCAGGTGAACATTGCCACCTGCCCTCACCACCACAGGTTTCTTGCCCTAAATCTAGAGACAGACTGAAAGCTCACAAGATGAAGAGAGTGCAAAGGGAGCTTCTGGACCTCAAAAACTTCAGTGACACCATGAGAAAAGAATGTGGCTCTAAACTAATGGACCTACATAAGGAAGGCTGAGGCCTCCTCACACTGCTCCCACAGAAAGCCCCTAAGAAGAGTCATTTATTACTACTCCCCAGGTGCTGACTTAAATGACAGCTTGGGTTTTATGAAGTACAGAACGTTTTATTCACTCCAAAAAACTATCTCATCTCCTCTTCAGTTACGGTACTTAAAAGAGCACTGTATTAGTCCATTTTCACACTGCTATAAAGAAATACCCAAGACTGGGTAACTTACAAAGGAAAGAGGTTTAATTGACTGACAGCTCCACACAGCTGGTGAGGCCTCAGGAAAATTACAATCATGGCGGAAGGCAAAGTGGAAGCAAGCACCTTCTCCACATGCGGCAGGAGCGAGAAGAGACAGCAAAGCGGTGAAGCCCCTTATAAAACCATCAGATCTCGTGAGAACTCACTCACTATTAGGAGAACACCACTGGGGAAACCGCCCCCATGATCCAATCACTTCCCACCAGGTCTCTCCCTCAACACCTGGGGATTACAATTCAAGATGGAATTTGAGTGGGGACACACAGCCAACCATATCAAGCACAAATTTCTTTTCACAGCTTTCTTCTCAGTTTATTCATCTATGTCAAAATTCAGGTCAAGTGAGAGAGAGAAGCCAGATGATTTAAAAATAATGCACCCAGAAAGAAGAGCCAGGAGATTTGAATTTAAGTCTTAATTCCATTAAAAAAATGCTCTGGAACTCATTTTGCTTCACCAAAATTGTGAATGAAGATTGCCTAGAGTAGTGATAGAAATGTGTCATCCAGAGCAGAAAACAGCCCCTACCTACCCCCAGCCACATTTACATGTAAACTGAAGAGGCTTACTTTCCAGGTCCTCAGGATATTAATTGAGACTAGCAAGTTCTGCAACATGAAACTTGTTTCGTTTTGTTTTCAACAGGACTTCTCAGTCTTTAATGTGCTATTCCACACTCTAACACTCTAACAGGGTGGGTGGTGAATTTCATCAGAATAATTACAGTCAACATATTGTGTGTTATCTCTGGGGGAGCATATTGAATGCATTATTTCATTCAATTGGAGAACACTAGGAGGTAAATGCTCTCAACATCTCTATTTTACAGAAGAAGAAAGGAAAGTTTCAAGCAGTTAACTTGCCACAAGTCACAAGGCCAATAAATAGCGGGGTAGGGGTACAAAGCTATGCCTTTCTCAACACAGACCCTAGCTTTTAAAGACCAAGCTATACTGCTTATCTGAATGTACTAGAAATTGTTCAGTGTGTTTTAGTTCAGTTGTGTCAAGGAACCCACACCAGGAAACACTGTTCTAGGCATATTCACCATAAGGCTGGATTCCCTACATCCATCTTCCATAATTAATTATAAAGCAGGTCCCTTTAAATAGATTCCTATAATTACATCACCTGAATAATTTTATATCTACTTCTATAATATATTGCATTTGTAAACAAAAAATAAAATTCTAAGCCTCCCAACCAACTGAATAGACCCCTCCTCTCAGCCAAGGGCATTTCAAAGTCAACCTGAAAAACTAGTTCAGGCCATGATGGGAAGTGAGGGTGGGACATGCCTTATTACACCCTCCTCCCGTTGGAATTCAGGCACAGCTGACCAGCATTAACATTAAAAGAAAGATCTTAAGATTGACAAAACAGACTTTTTGTAGCAATAGGACAACCAAATTCCAGACTGACTCTAGTATAGCATCACACGACAAATAGCAGACCCTGAAAGAAATCAAAATATTTTATCCCAAAATATATTTCTTTGACATGTTTTGAAATGGTCCTGCAAAGCTGTCTCTCGTTGGGAAAATCTACATTCTGCAGGTAATCCCCATTCATTTCTAGGCCTTTCCCCCGACCCAGGAGAGAATTAACTAAGAGTCTGGCACCTTTTTAGATCTTATAAGAGCTCTGAAGCCTGCTGTCTGGAGGTTTCATCTGCATAATAAAACCTTGGTCTCCACAACCCCTTATCTTAACCCAGACATTCCTTTCTACTGATTCCAGGTCCTTAGATGATAAGTCTTTTAATTAATTGCCAATCAGAAAATCTTTGAAAAACTTTCTGTGACCTGGAACCTAACCCCACCTTACCCTACTCTTTGAGTTGTCCCTCGTTTCCTGATCAAACTAATGTATATCTTGCATGTATTGATTGATGTTTATTATTTTGCTTATAGATGTCTAATTGGTCCAACACCCTTTGTTGAAAAAGACTGGCCTTTCACCATTAAATTGCTTTAACATCTTTGTTAAATATCAAATGAGTGTACTTGTGTGAGTCCGTTTCTGAACTTTCTCTTCTGTTCTATTAATTTATGTGTCTATCCCTTATCCAATACTACAGCTCATTATAACTTTTAAAACTCATAATAATTCAGTTTTGCAGAACAGTGAACCGTTATAATGTTCCTATGCTATAGGTAATCCTTCACCTTAAGTAAGTTTAAACACCCCTCAGCTTTTCAACACAAATTATGCTCAATTTTATTTAAAGTCTACCATTACTAGACTAAAATGAATTTACCAACATTAAAGCATTAGAAAAGTTTTTCCAAATGTTTCACACACACACACACACACACACACACACACACACACACACACGGCAAAATTCAGAAATCACTATCCTGATCTGTCTACTGAGTTTTGCATCTACTTTTGGACATGTCTTTTTTTTTTTTTTTTTTGAGACGGTGTCTCTCTCTGTCGCCCAGGCTGGAGTGCAGTGGCACAATCTCCTCTCACTGCAAACTCTGCCTCCCGGGTTCGCGCTATTCTCCTGCCTCAGCCTCCCGAGTAGCTGGGACCACAAGCGCCCGCCACCACGCCCAACTAATTTTTTGTGTTTTTAGTAGAGACGGGGTTTCACTGTGTTAGCCAGGATGGTCTCAATCTCCTGACCTCGTGATCCGCCTGCCTCGGCCTCTCAAAGTGCTAGGATTACAGGCATGAGCCACTGCGCCCGGCCTGGACATGTCTTTGGTGGACATCTCCAGTTAGGAATGCCCCACAGTCCCAAAAGTCCCCCCGCATGTTAAAAATTGAGATTACATAACACCTTCTGATTAGTTTGCATTTACTGAAAAGCTTGAATTTGATAAAAAATCTAGTTTAAAGATCAACATGTTTTGATATTTGGTTTTTGACAGCTTTTTTAAACAAAAATAATTTTTCACAATTATGTCTACATCAGATGAAATAAATGCATCATTGGCTGTATTTACAAAATCACAAAATTTACTTTTTAATTACATCCCTCGATTATTCACAAATTTTGTTGAATTAGACCAGCAAATTTCTATCTTTCTAGATTTTAAACAGTAAATGAAAACTAACCAGAAGGTATTGCATTTTACGTTTTTAACAAGTGGATTTAAAAAGACAAAAACTCTGTATTTGGAAGATTTTTTTAAAATAGCTTAGAAAGCTGTTTGTAAATGTTTTAAAAGCGCAGACACAAGAATTTTTAACAGGTGACATATTGGCATTGATTCAACAATAAAATCACATAACAATGGAAACATCTCCAACATCTATCTTCAAACTGCTCTCTTCCTACACAAATTTCTTATAATTAGTGGTCACTTTCTCACTTGTTAAAACATCACCTATAACTTGGATAAAGTTTTGTTGTTTTAGTTACTTTTTGGGTAGCATACTACTGACATCTATCTGTAATCACAAAAATTTTTAAAAAGCCAAAAATTGTTAAACACTTGTCCTTTTCTTTTTCTTCTTTTAAAGACGGTGTCACGGCCGAGTGCAGTGGCTCACGCCAGTAATCCCAGCACTTTGGGAGTCCGAGGCAGGCGGACCACGAGGTCAGGAGATCGAGACCATCCTGGCTAACTCGGTGAAACCCCGTCTCTACTAAAAATACAAAAAAAAATTAGCCGGGTGTGGTGGCGGGCGCCTGTAGTCCCAGCTACTCGGGAGGCTGAGGCAGGAGAATGGCGTGAACCCGAGAGGTGGAGCTTGCAGTGAGACGAGATCGCGCCACTGCACTCCAGCTTGGGCGACAGAGAGAGACTCCGTCTCGGAAAAAAAAAAAAAAAAAAAAGACAGTGTCTCACTCTGTTGCCCAGGCTGGAGTGCAGTAGCACAATCCTAGCTCACTGCAGCCTTGAACTCCTGGGCTCAAGAGATCCTCCCGCCTCAGCCTTCCGAAAAGCCAAGACTACAGTCACATACCACCATGCCCAGCTAAGTTTTTAAGTTATTTGTAGAGATAGGGTCTCCTATGTTGCCTAGGCTGGTCACAAACTCTGGCCTCAAGCAATCCTCCTGCTTGTGACATTTGACGTTTTGTGACATGTGACATTTGACTGTTCTATTAAGTGCTTTGCTTCAAGATACTTTGTGGGAAGTATGTAAGACAAAGATTTTTATGATTACTCCCCATCCAGTACAAAGTATTATAAAGAGACTAGTCTTGTTTTATAGGAATAACTACATCAATGATGTTCCATAATGCTTGATGCAATTCCAGTTTCAACTTCTTTGCCACACGTCTTGCTGTGAAGGCTGTGGTGTTCTCTGTGATCTCACCAAGAATGCTTTTTGGTTGATGTCCTAGTAAATGCAGTGGGTGTACCACTGCTGAATACACTTATACCATTTTTTTCATAGAACATTTTCTGATATATAAAAAAGTCATTTCTGACTTCTGAGAACTTTCACTGAGAAAATTTCTTTTCTGTTGCATTTTTCCCTTACTCTCTCATAGAAAAGAATTACAGTTCTCTGAGCATTTCATTGTTGAGGTAATTATGATAGTGGCTAAGATTACTGGCATTGGAGACGGAGTACTCATGTTGACTCTTTATTGGCTCCAATACTATTGACAGTGTGGCCTTCAGCACATGACTTAACCTCTCCGTGTCTTGGTTTCTTCATCTGCAAAAATAAAATGGGAATAATAGTAATACTTACCTCAGAGATTGTTAAAAAGAATAAGTAAAGTAATTCATGTAAAGTGCTTAGAATCTTGTCTGACACATAGTGAGTTCCCAGTAAATTTTGGCTATTACTTTCTAGAAAACAACCATACGCTGTGATATATTAGAAACACCTTTACTTCCATTCAACAGTATAATTGCTTAGTACTTACTTCATCACATTTTCATTGATTCTTTCTGTACAGTTTTCAGCAGTATTTGTTTACAAAGGAACACATTTTAATTTGTTGTCATGTGGTTTTTCATGTATTATTTTAGCAATATTTTACCACAACAGGAAGCAGGAAGAACAAGTGTTTCACCAATAATATCAGGCTTTTCCTCTTTTGCCGTAATGTAAGAAACCTCAAGAGAGGCTTCTGACTTTTTTCATTAAGCTTAGTAAATAGAGTCTTCTTAACTATCATAACTTTGAACACAACTGTAAAAATTATAAAAAATCATTTTCAGATCCTGGATACTCATTTACAAATATCTTGCTTGTCCTGATGGCTTCATGTTACCACTAGCTAACATCTTCCCAGGTACACTTTACAGTTTTTGTGAGGTTCGTCGCTAATAATAACAATTGTAAATCCATTTTTCAGGCTGTCTTCTTGTTAATTTCTCTTTTTAACTTTTTTTGGTCAGATCTATGGAGATTTACGTTGCTTTCAGCTCTTACGTAGCCAACAAAAAGCTCATCCTAGGAATAAGAAAGGTGTCAAGACTGCCCTTTCCTCATTATTCTCTTAGGTTTGCAATATTAGTGTTGTCTGCAATCTTTAGTTTCTTTGTAGGAAGGCGTCTGAGCCACTTGTTGAATTTTGTAAGGGTTAGTTTTGATAAAACCAAATAAGAGGATCTGTAAGTCATCAGGTAAACTGCTGACTGAGCTCTGGAGCCCCATTGCCCTGTCAGGAATCCCTGTGTATGTGGATCAGTGATGTCTCCACTGTCAGCCCAAGCACCTAGCATCCAATAAATACTTGCTGACTTGATTTGAGTTAATTCATGGATGTAATTTATATAAAAGGAAATTTCATTTATTCAATCCTACTTTCAAAGTGCTTTCAACATAGAGAACTAGATATATTAAGGAAGTTTTCCTAAACCGACTTAAAACTATTAATTTTTTTTGGTAGAAAGAACTAATAAAATCATTACATTGATGGACTTTCAACAATCAGTCTTGGGAGGTGTCATGTGCATTGTAAATTTCACAGAATAAGAGTCTAGGGTCCTGAGCTATATTCTCATAGGACCTGAGAAGCTACTTCATCTGTCTAGATCTCAGCCTCTCATCCATAATAAGAAGCAGTTGGGCTAAATGATCTTGAAGGTCCTTCGTAATCTGACATTTATCAATTTAATTCATATTCTATATGCACTAAAAAATTCAATAACTTTCTTTTTTGTGGCACTTTGGCAAGGAGGCTTAAACTTGTAGTAAATTCCTACATAAATATTATTCACCTTAACCTCTACTTTCTGTGAATTGTTTCCTTCTTTGTTTCTTGGAACTTCAAATATGAAATCAATAAAGTGTCATAGGCCAGGCGTGGTGGCTCACACCTATAATCCCAGCACTTTGGGAGGCCAAGGTGGGTGGCTCTCTTGGGCCCAGGAGTTCAAGACCAGCCTGGGCAACATGGCGAAATCCTGTCTCTACTAAAAATACAGAAACTAGTTGGGTGTGCTGGCGTACACCTGTAGTTCCAGCTACTTAGGAAGCTGATGTGGAAGCATCACCTGAGCTCAGGAAGTCAAGGCTGCAGTGTGCTTTGATTGTGCCATTGCCCTCCAGCCTGGGTGACAAGAGTGAGACCCTGTCTCAAAAAATAATAAAAATAATTTTAAAATATGTCATCATGAGTCCTACTAAATGAAGTAAAACAATAACTTAAATAACTTCCCCCTAAGTGACACTAAACACTCAACTTTCTAAAGGAATTCTAAAAATTAATCTACTGATTAAATCTATAACAAATTTATTGGAGGTACAAAATTTGGTGTAAGTCTCATTTATACTGAATACAATTATCTTCTCTCTTTTTTAACCAGCTTTAAATTTAGTTTCTCAAATTGCAAGGATAAACACATAAATATTTGCCTATAGATACTATATCCTGAGTGTTCTAGACAAATAGACAAAAATGAGGTAAAATTAAGAAGTGTTGGCGTATTGCTATTTCCTGAGCCCAGTTTCACTGTTCTCATTAATCCTACACTGGTCATTAAGTTCTGGGCCTTACCTATATACATATATACCTATAGGTACAGCTATATAAATATACATAAAAAATATTTTATATAATTCTCTTGAAGACATATGTAACAAATAGCAAGATTAACTATTTAAAAAAAATAATTAATGGGGAGTTTTGTCACATGTTAGGATAATAAAAAGGATAATTTTTAAAAATCACAAAGAACCTGCTGGTTAAGATAGTTTTTAGGACTTAGCTCATCCCAGGAAACCGACTTCTCTAAGCATTGTTGAAAATTTGAAGAAACAGGTATTATAAAAATTATAGAAAATGTTTCTAATATGTCTCATTTATGGTTTTTGGTAGAGAGTAATAGCCAATATTTGCTGATAACTCACTGCGTCAGCTAAGATTCTAAGCATTTTACAAGAATTAATCCATTTAGTACTCATAGCAATCTAAGAGGTAGGTATTAACAGCTTATATCAGCTCCAGAATTAGACCCTATCAATTTCAAAAGCTGAGGCCTAACATGACATGCCAGACATAGGGCGTTGACCAAAGATGAGAGAACTTCTTCTTGCAAAGTAAGGCAACAAGCAAGCGTAACACTAGAACCATCTGCCCAAAACTGCTCCATTTTTGCCTGTGTGACAAGATCAACCCACTGTATAAAGAACCAACCAGAATTCACTCTGCTTAAAATGTATCCTTTGTTTGAAAATGGCACTGCCTCTCTTGGAAGTAATAAACCCAGTAACTTCATATGTGTCAACATAGCTCATGTTAAAGAGGATGTCATGCGCTATATATTTCTATTAGCTCCTGTCTCAGAAGACAACATGTCAGTATTGAAAGACAGTCACTTATCCTCTTGTAGGTAGGTGTCCATGATTGTGTGCTTTTTAATGGATTGAAATCCTAGATGAACATTTTTCTTCAAATACCTCATTTTTTCCCACTTACATGAAATCTTTGCCATGATTCATTAGAGTAACCAGGAGAGATAAAAGTTCCAGCAGGTTTTTCAAATTTGTCTTCCAAAAAATAATAAGCCTTTTGATCCACTTAGAGCATTGACCATTCTAAACAATGTTGCTTGAATCTAAAAGATATAGTGGGTAAATTAACATTAATGACAATAACCTTTGCAATTTCCTTGCACACCAAGGAGAAGTTAATTTCCTTTGTGTTGAAAATCTTCCAGTAAACAGAATAATTATGCACTTCAGAGGAAGGGAGAAAAACACCAGAAGACCCTTGGTAGCTTCAACCCTTCAGCATGTTTTTAAACCTCGTAAGGGAAGGCCTGGGCTGGAAGAGCAGAGGATTGGTGTCAACCGGCATGTATTATGACAATGTTCAGTTTGACTAATCTGTTTTTGACCTGTTTATACAAGAATGGTGTGTGTGAAAAAGAAAGATCCTCCTTCAAGCTTTTAAAATTTTAACCAGAAAAGTGTTGGAGTGAATGAAATAAAACACTATTTCTCAACTGATACACCATGTGCTGAAGAACAAGGCAGCTGCCGTGATGCTGTTGTGACTATCTGTATCCTAGCAACCACCTACCCACAGAAAGAACCACCTCATGGATGTAATTCCCTTACTGCACACAAAGCTGGTCCATAGCACCCTGGGAAGTTAGTCTGAATGGAGGAAGGAGGCAGTGCTTTTCTCCAAAAGGACTCTTACATCACTGGGAAGAAGCTTTGCAAATAAATTAGTGCCTACCATGAATCACTGTCACAGCAGTTGGCTGGCTCTCAAATACCTTCACACACACACACAAATTCCAGTGTACTGAATGTCCTGGGAAATACTTGGGAAACCCAGACAGTGAGAGGCATTAGTATGTTTGGTCAACTTGGGAGAATCAGAAAATCAAGTCAGAATAAAAAAAAAAACAGATGCTCACACCAATTCAGATTCCAGACTTAGCAAGGAGGTCAACAGGTGATGAGAGTAGAAGTTTCTGCCTTGTATTTGGCTAAAACAACTGAAGTTTCTATACATTTGCTAATTCCCAGAATTGAGAAGAAAGCTCTGGAAGATGCTCTTAAGAAATAGAACATCTCCTAAAGAAAGACATATTGACAAGCATTATTCCACAATTGCCTTTGGAAGTTATTAACTTTGGCCATATAAAACAAGAGAGTAAAACATTTTCAGAGATAGTAAGATCTTTCAAGAAGTGTAAAGATCCCTTCTGTTCAGTGAAATTTTTTCTTCGTCTACACCTGGCAATAATAGTATTCATCCTTCCAGACCTGACTCTCAGTCATCTTGTCATGAGCCCCAGCAAACAGGACATCTGGGAAGGGCCTGGGATGGCCGTGTGCACAACCACCTCAGTGGTAATAAAGAATCTCTACAAAGTGAATCTAGTTCTTAGTTCACCTAATATCTAGGCAATACTTCCTTCATGGTGAACAATATTAGCATTCTGGAGGAAAGCGCTGGCCTGTAGGCAAGAAGTAAATAGACAATGGGGACAATTACATTCCAATGGTCAGGATCTCTGTAGTTGCTGTTGTTGTTTCTGGTTCTTTCTTAAAGTTAATTCTAATTCTCACATGAGAAACTATAACATAATAAGACTAATATTTTGTTTACTAGCTCTAGGATGGCCCAAATTTGGAGTAATAATTAAACTAAGCACTAAACTGCTTCCTGGAATTTAAAATTTCTTGAAAAAGATTTAGGAATCCTTTAAAAGAACGTGATTTCTTTCTTTAAAACTGACCTAGACCTTTCTGAGAGATTCCAGGGCCTGCCTCTCTTCTCCTCGCCCCATCAAGTGCTCTCCCCTGTTCTCCTCGACCTCTGGCCACACCAGTGAGATAAAGTGATTTGTTTCTTAAAAACTGACTATTTTGAAAACGCTCTCCAATGCAGTCATTTCCAGCTATTGAGGATAGTTATTGAGTCTTTAATTGTTTTGTTTGCAATAAGTTTATAAAAACTACTTCTGTACAATAATTGCTAAAATAGCTTAGATCAGGCAATTTACATTGGAAAGTTGCTAGGTTCTCCGAGTTTCCTCTATTGTAATCAAAGTGACAAAAAGTTTAAGGACTTCGAACAGATTTTAGAAGACTTATTTTCCAGGTAAGAAATCTTTGTTACCTTTCATCTGAGGTTCAATGTTTGACTTTTTAACTCTGTATGGATTAAAAAACAACTTATAAATTCATCTATATGAATTTGTTAAATGAAACCTATGCATCAACGATAAAAATAAAAGACATTGTACTGATTCACAAGCCAAACTATTTGATGCTCCCAATAGCAGACCACTGACTGACTAGGGAATATTCTGAGCATACTTCTCTATTTACAGATGTGTATCGTTTACACTTGACCTGTCCAGTCAGTAACTACTAAATAAGGGCACATTTCTTTTTTATAGTGAAATTTTTTGGACCATGCCACCACAAGCAAATTGCTGGAAATTAGCCTTCTTTAAAATCTTTCCATCCTAGACCTTTCTGAGAGATTCCGGGGCCTACCTCTCTCATCCTTACCCCATCAAGAGCTCTCCTCTGATCTCCTTGATCTCTGGCCACACCAATGTGAGGCCACAGTGCTCCTGGAAGTAGTTCCCCCCTACCTGTCACTCATGTACCATTTCACCTGAGCACAAGTGAGATCAATGTCTAACTTTTACTGAAGTCCTCTTTAAGAATTGTGGAGAGGGGAGGAGGACAACCTATAGTATAACTCACAATCACTGGCCATGACCAGACCTGTTAAAGTCTCTTTTCAAGTCAGTGCCCTGCCTTACTTATGACTTATGTCCATCAAGCCAAAGTAAAGGCACTCCCCAGCCCCAAAGTGCAGTAGTCCCTTCCCAGACTCAGAATACAGGACAGAGAGAGATACAGACAGAGGGAGAGAGAGATGAGAGAGAGAGAGAGATGAGAGAGAGAGAGAGAGAGAGAGAGAGAGAGAGAGAGAGAGAGAGAGAGAGAGACAGAGAAGCATGCATTCCTAATACCTGGGACTGCCTACAAGAATCTTCACTTCTGTCTCAAAATTAACATCTCCCATTGTAGAAGGAAAAGAAAAATGATTACTTTGAAATCAGGAGCCAGAAATTCTCAAAGGAGTACACAACTGTTTTTGTTTAGCAAAACACATCAGCTCACTATTTAATAGTTTTTGAAGTTATTTTCATTTAAAAAGGCAAGTCTCGGATATGATCAGAAAAGCAAAATTGGAGGAAGAAGAAATCTAAAATGTTCTGCAGAAGGATATGGATGGTCTGAAGTAGATTAAGGAGGCCCAGGAAAGCGGCCAAGGTGCAGGTCAGTATCACTGTGGGAGAAAGAGGGTTTCGCTCATGTGGTGGAAGACTAAGGCCCAAGAAAAAGAGATGTCTGGCAAGTCCCTTCCACAGATGACCTTGTGTCACTTTTAGGAACAGGAATGAAAAATGTTTTACTTTGTTGTTGGAAGCGCTGGGATGTAAGCAGCCCCTGCCCTTGCCCCAACCCTCCCAACAGCAAACCTTCAGGTAAAGTCTGTCCCCTCACAGCTCATAACAATTGTTTCCTCGTTCTTTCAAGAAGTAAGTGAGACAGGGTGGTGGCTGGTGTGAGGTGGTGAAGTATGGGAAAGGGACAGTACATGAGGGCAGTGAGACACACAGTAGATGAATCATTCAGTAGGAGGCCCAGAAGGGACACATAGCCTTGCCTTCCTCATCACAGCCCCCACCTCCAGCATCTTCCAAGACAGAGGAGAGAGACATTGGGTTTCCTGGAACATATGATAGAGGTGCAGGTCACTTTAATTTAAATAGATGCTGAGCCCAGCAAGCCACAGGACTTGGGCATTTCTCAAACTCCAGGTCCCCCTCAGGAACATCATCTGGCCTTCCACTCCTTCCGGAAGAATCTCAGCACAACCACACGCATTTCTGTTTCTACCATTACACACTCTGAGAAAAGTCATTCGCTATGAATAACCCACCTTTACTTGAAATTTAAAAAAAAAAAAAAAACCACACCTAGCAATCAAGAGAAAGGAACAGAGCTTATAGTGAAGAAAAGGTAAACGTTTATTCTACCATTTCACTTATTTTCTAAAACTATCTTCCAAGGAGGGTGTATATCACATAGAGGCTATGTAAGATGGTTTGCTATTGTGTAGAAAGAAAATATTAGATACGTTATTTGTTGTGTAATGTTCATTACATACACATGTTCATGTGTACAGTGTACATATTACATGTATGTAATTGATAAGTAAATGTGTTTATTAGAAGCATATGCTTACATTTTAATTATTTTACTGATGGAACGGAGTCTGGAGAGTACTGATTTAATAAACCAACTGAGGCCAGTCGTGGTGGCTCATGCCTGTAATCCCAGCACTTTGGGAGGCTGAGGTGGGCTGATCACTTGAGGTCAGGAGTTCGAGACCAGCCTGGCCAACATGATGAAACCCCATCTCTACTAAAAATACAAAAATTAGCAGGTGTGGTGGCATATGCCTGTAATCCCAACTACTCAGGAGGCTGAGACAGGAGAATTGCTTGAACCTGGGAGGCGGAGGTTGCAGTGAGCCAAGATCATGCCACTGTACTCCAGCCTGGGCGACAGAGCAAAACCTGTCTCAAAAAATAAAAATAAAAATAAAAAACCAACTGATCACATGGGATCAATAGAAGCCCAAACCTCACCATCACACAATATCCCCTTGTAACAAACCTCCACATGTACACCTGAATGTAAAGTAAAAATTGAAATTAAAAAAAAAAGACAAAAACTAAAAGCTAAAAAACCTCCAACCAACCATACTACCCAAGGAATAATTTGAAATGGATTTTCATAAAGGCAGATTTGTAAATTATAAAGTAAGGTTTTTAATTTGCTTGAGCCAAATTATTAGTCTGTTTACTTTTGATAGAAACAATCAATTACTTGCTCTACCATGAACACAAGCAACTTCTAAATTGAATGTCAAATATTTTGACAAGCTCAAATTAGCCCCAAAATGTAAATTAACTGAGAAAACTAATTTACCATTTTTATATGCTTTTAATAGCTTTAAAAATCCACAAGGGAAGGGTTCCACACATGGGCAAAAATATGCAAAAAACTGAAATAATCGCTATCACTTTCAAGTGGCTTGTTTTTGCTGCTGTTAAAATAAGATTATTACCGGTAAGAAACCCGACGAACAGAGTTAATTTGCAATGAATGAAATTTTTTATCAGTTGGTATAAGAAAAAGACAAACACCAGAGCCACAGTTTCACAAAGGTACTTACTCAAATCAAGTTGACATGTTCTTGTATTTTTAATAAACATTTCTTCTGATTACAAAAATATGAGTTATGTATTTTTAAATTATTTTGACTATAATTTTTAATGTTGTAGAACTATTATTGGGTTTTTCACTATGGCATTTTGTCATGTATAAAAAATGTTCGATGATTATAGGCGAAACCAAGCCACATTTAGAAAATACCATTACATTCATAAAAATAATTTTTAAAACAACAAAACATTAATAGAATCTCGGGCTTATCGAGTGTTTATTGTATGCCAAGCTCTGTTTTGTGCACTTTACATATATTAACTCAGTGGTTCTAACCCAGGCTGTTGGTTAGAATCACCACATTAAAAAAAAATAAGGCCTAGATTCCACTCCCAGAAGAGACTCTGATCCAGACTGCCCGGGGTGGCCACCCAGACATTAGTGATTCTAATGCACAGCCAGCACTGAAAATGAATACATTAACGCAATACTGACAAGAGTCCTCGGAAGAGGGTACAATTATCTTCATTTTAGGGTAAGGAAAATGAGACAAACAGTTCACAAGCAGCAGAAATGGGATTTGAATCCAGGCAAGAAATCTGTCTCCAAAATTTATGCTTCTTTACCACTAAGCTCAATGACCAAACACCACTGAATATTTGGAGGTTAGTTTCACTGCTGTTAGAAAAAAAGAAAAAAAATCGCATAACCCTGGCTGAAAAAACAGACAAGCTTCTGGTCTCAGAATTACTCTGGTTTGCACATGACTGGGATGCTGACCACGCCTTAGCCGGTACTGAAATCACTGATTTCACTGTTTACTACTAAAAGTGATAACTTAGTGCCACCCCAGGATCCCTCCCGCAGCTGGGAGGCTGTACTTCTTCCTTACCCTTTATTACCAAAAAAGTTCATATAAATAATGCAGGTACAGAAGCCAAACAGGAACAATTTCTTTTTCAACTGTTATTTGTCCTCCAGGGTAAATAGACTTGAAGGTTCAGAAACCACTTGCCAGCAGTTTTCTTTCCTGCTGTCCTCACCTGCTGTAGCTCAAGTAGACGCTAACAGAATACTCAGTTAAAAGGAGGGAGAGGGAGGGGAATAGAAAGAAACCTAATTGTGTTGCTATCACTTGGTTTATCCGGCTAGCAGTCACATGAGTAACAATCTTGCATAAGTTTACCTGAATACTGTTAGACCATAAAGCATTCTTCCTGCTGGGTCAGGTGGCTGCAGAGGTGATCTGTCTCAATGCCAAGGGCAAGAAATAAGGCAAGTAGAATTTAAATGAGGGAAAAATAGATGATGGCACCATATCTATTTAGAGAGGAGAAAGAAATACTATCCTCTGAAATGCACACAGTGACTGACAAAGGGTGACCCAGGCAGTTATCAGCTAACATGAGACCAGGAGCGTAAAGTACGGGATTTAAACCAGTGACTTGCAAGAAATGAGGTAGCAGAGAGGCAGGGAATCCCAAAGTGCCATCCACACATTCCACACTCCATGGATCTGTGCCGTGTCACTGCACTGTTCAAATACGGCATCTCATCGTATGACTTGATCAGAGATTTAGCCAAGACGTGGAGCCCAGGAGGACATTTATTGAGCATACTCTGCTAAGCACCATGCTTTGGTACATGCTAGGTTATCTCATGTGATTCCCCACAAAAAAATCCTAAAAGCAGTGGGCGAGGGTATTATTTCCCAGAGATACTCTAAAGTAACTCAGCTATTAAGTTGGTAGCATGGATATGAAATGAGGCTTGTTTGTTTCTAAAACCTGTGGTTCCTTCCACTCTGTGACACAGTCTCCCCAACTTATTGTTTCTATCCTGGGTTTCATGTTTATTGGGTACAACCTACCTCAATGAAGGCACTTCTGAGCCACCAGAGGTGGCAAGGAAAACAAGGCATAGACTTGCTTGCCAGCAGGAATCAGACTATTCTGAGATCCTAGAGCCATCCATAAAAGCTCATTTTTGTAATTTCTTGGGTTCTGCTTCAGCAACCTGGGTTCTTCTTTCCTAGCTTCTGGCTGCCTGATAGATCGGCCCAACCATCACCCCTCACATCCCATGCAAATGACAGTGCCCAACTCTAGATATTTGCCAACTACTCCACGGAAAATTCTCCCACCCCAAAGAGAGTCCAGTCCATTTGACATAACTGTATACAGAAGTTTTACTTCTGTCTCCAACAGCTGAGTCTGAGGTTCATGGGGCCATTTTTGTCATTTGTCACCCTCTTTTTGTTGCTGTTCTCTAGGACTATGTCATTAGCAGATCAGAGAAAGACGCCTCATTCATACACAAGAATTTGCTGAGTACACACTGTGGAAGCAGGAATGTCCTAGGTGCTGGGAACATAGAGATCACTAGGATTAAGTCTTTATTTCAAATACCCTAGAGTTCTGCTCACCTGTTACAAGGAGTGCTACCTGAGAACAGAGTCCAGAGATTCTGAGCAAAAGCACCTGATTTCCTCATCGGGAACTTCCTTAATGGGAGAGCCAGGACAGCAGCCTAGCTTTGGCAGTTTGGCTCCATTCTGCTCTCTTTATTCAAACTATTGCCTATTGTGTACTGTCTTCCATAGGTGTCTCTTCTGGAAACTGTACTGTGTTTTCCCCCTCAATCTACCTCTTTTTAAAAGCCAGACGCCATCTCAAAAGGGCAAGCTGATAAAAATGGAATGTCGGGGCAGCTATAACCTCTCATCAACAAAGGCGGCTGCCGTGTCTAAGCAGCAGGTTGGAGGCTCACCCAAGGATTAAATAAATGAATTAACAGTTAGAGAGAGAATGTTTTTCAGGCAATATCCTTTGGCAGGATTGTAATTCGCATTCAGTCAAGCTCCCATTTCCCCTTGGCAAAAAATTCATTTAATATGAGAGGACAGTGTGGCTTATTTACCCATTATCATATTTGGCAGTTCTTAAAGTTGCAATGCACCTGTTACTAAAACTCCGGAGTTGTGTCAGAGCCTCAGAAACAGTAAGAGTGGGGAGAAAGTGAAGGAGGTTGAAATTGAAATTTAGGTTAATTTTCACAACTACCTTTGTTCACAGTTCCCTTTCCATTTTTCACTAATTTTTAGAACTTCTGAATTCTTACAAGTTATCAGAAGGAAGGATTTTTTTCTTTGTGGCTTAAGAGTTTCAAACAGACAAACAAAAAATCAACCATCTGTTTCCCTAATTTCCAAGCAATTAGCCAGGTGTTAATTACTCCTCTTGTCAGAGTAAAAGCTGAAGCTTCCATGAAATGTTCTGCTAGTTTAAAATGAGGCATATTCATTCACTTATACACAGAAGTACAGTTTGAGAGTTATGAAGTTTTATAGTTGGTAGCAGATTAGCTCTAATGGCCAGTAAGAAAATAAACATGCATCAGAAAACAAAAATTAAGCAACTATACATACCCAAAGACAAACTTTGTTAAATGCCCAAGTATACCAGATTGAACCAACAGGGATGTGGGGGCAGTTTCCCGGAGACCTGGAGCACCTTTTCATTGGAGTACTTACCCACACAAGTAGAATTCCCATTTCCTGCGAGAGTACCTTCAGGACAGCTCCAGTGCTGCGGTGCTGAGAGACTAACAAAACTAAATTTTGAAACTACTGGCAACAGAATGATAAGAGTGAGCAGCATAATCTTGATGAGTTTGAACTTTCAAAAGAAAACAGCTTGATTTTGCTGGAGCATGGCCCGGGCAAGGTGAGTATGATTGACCCCAGATGCGGCTGCCTGAGCGGAGGCCTCAGCCCTGGGGCATCTTTTACTCTCCTGTTGTGCTGTTGTCCTCCAAGCTCTTTCTTCAACTGAGAGACCTTCTGAATGCAGCCTGCCAAGGGAAGCCACAGGAAAGATTTCTTTATCTATGTTTCTTTGGAAGCCAGTAAGAAATACCTGACACCCTTATGACAAATTTCACAGAGTTTAACAGCCCTGCTCTGGCTGACTTCACTGTGACAGAGCAAGGCAAAGGCTTAGAGAGGAAAAAGAAAGGAAGAACTGATGGAAAGTTCCAGCTACAACCCTTGGATTGGGGCTGAAAGAAGAAATATGGAGATACGATTCCTCTCCCAACAGTTTCTCTTTTTGAAAAGTGGAATGACTCAGCTTTGCTTTTTAAAGCTCTTCAGGCTCCACCTCCTTTCCTTTAGTGACACTTGAGTGAGCCTCTGTTTGCAAATGCGAATGTGGGCAATTCCTCCACACAGGAAAGCAGGGATGACTGCCAAAGAGGAGATAACTCGCTACTCACCATAAATATCCTGGGCAGAACTGGGAGAGAGGAGTTGGGGGCTGTGGAGGTGCTCATGGTGAATGGCGGGAACTGCTAAATATTGGCTATGTTTTAATGTCTGGAAGGATGGAGACAAAATTAAACCATGCAGTATAAATCAATAATAAGCAGCACTGTTGATAGTTTGGATTGATAATAATTGATCATTCACATGAGCAATAGTAAAGATAGTTCACCTTCAGCCCATTATTTGAACGAAATGTCAATACCAGTGCACATTCCAGGAGCTTTATCTTATTTTTCTCTTTCTCCTGTATAGTTTATAGCGGAATTTGAAAGATTATTCTTTCCAAATCAAAGGGAAATCCCTGAGGCCAAATGAAGAGATACAGTATGGACAGACACCTTTTCTTTCAGCATGAGCATGATAAAACATCACGAGGGGCCAGGAGTGCAGAGAAAGGAGTGGATTGTTATTATAGGGACATTGGAAAAAATAAGCTAACAGTGCAAAGCTGGGAAGCACTGGAAATCCAGCACAGAGGAATGCTTTTCCTTCTAAGATAATTTAGGCTTTTTTTTTTTCACATCTCTGTGATAGAAAATAAGAACTGGACGTATCTGTTAGCTGTCTCCTCAACCACTTTCTACTTGGAGCAACAGTGGTTATTTCTTCAGGAGTACAACTAGGGCCCAAAAATACCCAGAAGGCAAACAACTTATAGCAGATTTGATGCACGATGGAAATTTCTGTCAGTTTACTCCATCCTGGAAAATGGACTTTCATTTAAGTTACCCTGAGGTAGTGTTCCAAGTGCTGGTCAAAAATGTACGTAAAAGCAATAGTCACAAAAACAACTGTCACACTAGTGAACACCCCATTACAGAGGAGAACAGACTAACTCTAAGCCTTTTACTCATACTTAATTATGTCCTGATTATTCTCCAAAGACTGGATCACTTTCCTGAAACAGCTTAAGTCAGGATTTCTCCTATTTCAGCCAGCCTCTGCCAGGCAGCTCTGAACCCTTACAGGAGAAACAGACCCTGGGGAAGGGGGAAAGAGAAGTCCTTTAGGTGGTTATGCGGAATATTCCATTGCTTTCTGGACTGAGTCAGACTCAAGACTCATAATGAGCATCCTACAAATAACCTGCACTGACTCTTCGAGTTACTAACTTTATTAATAAGCTTCCCTTTCAGCACAATACATTGCCAGCATCCCAGATGACAGCAATGGAAGGGGCTTAGAGGACAATCAAGCATCACGCTGTGTCAGTGGAGTGGAGTGGAGAGAATGATATGAAGACAAACATGAAATGATCCACAGCTCTGTTCTGTTTGGATTTGGAATCTCTCATATTATTTTTGGTTGGAAAAAGGTTTGCTTTCTTAATTACATGTCACCTGGGCTAATGTTGTCATTAATGTTGAGTACAAGCTCCCTAGGAGATGACGGAGTCAACAGAGGTATAGCAGATGCTATGGCTGATGACTGATGATGAAAATCAATCGCAGCTAATTCATCATCTACAGTTGCCCAGATAGCAAAATCATAGGACAGAGCTACCCAACTGGGAAGGATTTACAGAGATATTTAATAAGTTTATATTCCAGCCGGGCGTGGTGGCTCATGCCTGTAATCCCAGCACTTTGGGAGGCCAAGGTGGGCAGATCACACTTCAGGAGATCTAGACCATCCTGGCTAACACGGTGAAACCCCATCTCTACTAAAAATACAAAAAGTTAGCCAGGCGTGGTGGCACATGCCTATAGTCCCAGCTACTCATGAGGCTGAGGCAGGAGAATTGCTTGAACCCAGGAGGCGGAGGTTGCAGTGAGCCGATAACACGCCACTGCACTCCAGCCTGGGTGACAGAGCAAGACTCTATCTCAAAAAAATAAATAAATAAATAAATAATAAGTTTATGTTCCTACTTCTGGATAAAACTGAACCTTTCTTGCACTCAAGAAAGGTTGAAATAAACTCTTTATTTTAAAATTGATAAGAAATGCACTATAACTTATAGGTTTGAGCTGCCAAATATGATTTAATTTCTGGAATTGAGTTAAAGTTAACTAATTCATTCGTTAATTAAACAGCTATATATGATAGAGCACTGCCTGGAGTACAAGAAACAGAAGTCGTAGTCCTTAACATCAAGAGCTTGCTGAGGTTGATTAACAGCAACAACAGAGAGTATGAGTATGAGCTAATGAATGACCAGCCACCAAGTACATGACTGGTCACAAACTGGGTGTCAGGAAAGAAGGAGGGGAGCTGCAATGTACTTTGGACTACAGCATGCAGTGTGAAGCTCTGTGGAGTAATTAGGATGCCTCAGAAGGACATAGAGAAGGAGAAGGGTCATGCTGACAGGATGTGGAACAGGAATGGACAAAAATTTTTTTTCTTATTTAATAGTTCCTTAGATCCTGAAGGGACACAGCTGGGTGGGGGAAACCCTGCTGGTAGGTCAGTAAGAAAGTTAGACATTAATAGCAAGGAGATAGCTCTGAATGGTTATAAGTGTGAGTGGACAGCAATAGCTGGAAGGGACTATTGGGACATATGTTTATGTGTGCTTGTCATAAAATTCTAACTTTTCCGATGAAATTTCCTCATTGAAACACAGGGCACCTAGTTCTCCTGGGTTATGTATTTACTGTGCTCAGCACCTCTTACTAATCATTGCCACCGCCACACCATCAACAGATTACTTCCTTAATTACAGCATGTCTCCTCATCATTCTCCCAGGTATTTTAGTTTCTAAAAATGTAAAGGTTTAGGGAAAGAATTCTGGATTTCCCAAAACAATCTTTCCCTACCCTTCAGTTCTGCTCAACCTATGAGAAGTAGAGTACCATTAAATGAAGAGCACTTCAAGTGCTCTACAAGGCTTGACAAGAGAACTAAAGATACTGTAAAATGCATATAATGAAACACTACTTGCTGGAAGTAATGAAAATGCAAACCACTATTTGCAGCTCTTATTATATGTATAAAACTGTGAATCAGGCAGGGCACGGTGGCTCACGCCTGTAATCCCAACACTTTGGGAGGCTGAGGTGGGTGGATCACAAGGTCAGAAGTTCAAGACCAGCCTGGCCAATATGGTGAAACTCCATCTCTACTAAAAATACAAAACAAAACAAAAAACTGTGAATTAGTATCCTCTTTGCTTGCCACTCAAAACTGGAAAGATGTATAAAATAGATGGTGGAGAGAAAATATTTGAGTTGGTGACATATGGATTATTTCAATTTTAAATACCAGAGAAACAAAATAAATTAAGTTGCTTTCCTTTGGTTTTCCCAGCCTGATTTCTAATTAAGATGCATTCTTTTTCATTTTCATTAAAGTAAAATTTATATAAAGTGAACAGATCTTAAGTGTACAATCTGATGAGTTGTGATAAATGTATATATACACTTCATCAATACCTCAAACTGTCTTTTAAAAAACACCATTTTTGGTAGAAATTTCCAAGCATAGAACATTTCCTTTACCGTCAAAATTTTCCATATACTCCTTCCAGTGAATCCCGCTCATAGGTAACCATTGTTCTTCTTTCTCTCATCATAGATAAGTTTTGTCTGTTCTTGAACTTTATATAAAGGCAATCATACAGCACGTTTAACTTTGGGTCTTGCTTCTTTTGTTTAACATAATGTTTTTGAGACTCTTGTAGGTTGTGCATATCAGTACTTTATTCTTTTTTATTGCTGGGAAGTATTTTTGTATGAATATAGTACAATTTGTTTATCTATTCTCTTGTTCATGAACCTTTGGATTGTTTCCAGGTTTGGCTCAATGAATGTTTTCATTTCTCAACATTTAATACCTAATTACTAGTTCATAGGGTAGATATATGTTTAACTTCATAAGTAACTGCCAAATATTTTTCCAAAGTGGCTGTTCCATTTTATACTCTCTCCAGCAATATATGTGAGATCCATTTTTCCATGTCTTCACCCACATTTGGTATTGTTAGTCTTTTAAATGTTAACCGTTTTTGTACATGTGACGTAACACATTGCAATTTTAATTTGCCTTTTCCTAAGGACTAATGGTATTGACCATCTTTTTTTGTGTTAATTGATCATTCATATATCCTCTTTTGTAATACATCTGTTCAAACCTTTTGCCTATGTTTACTGTATTGCTCAAAGTTTCATTATTGATTTGTAGAAGTTCTTTATATATAATCTAGATTCAAAATCCTTGTCAAATCTTTGTGTTACAAATATTTTTTCTAGTTTGGGGCTTATGTATTCCTTTTCTTTTTCTTTTTCTTTCTTTAAGAAAAGGTCTCACTCTATTGCCTAGGTTGGAGTATAGTGGCACAATCATAGCTCATTGTAACATCAAATTTCAAGCAATCCTCTTGCCTCAGTCCGTCAAGTAGCTAGGATTATAAGTGCACACCACCACGTCTGGCTAGTATTTTTACTTTTTGTGGAGATGGAGGTCTCACTATGTTGCCCAGGCTGGTCTCAAACTCCTGGCTTCAAGCAATCCTCCCACATTGGCCTCCCAAAGTGTTGGGATTACAGGCATAAGCCGCCACACCTGCCCTCTATTTATTTTCTTCATGGTGTCTTTTTTTTTCCAATAGGTTTTTGGGGAAGAGGTGGTGTTTGGTTACATGAATAAGTTCTTTAGTGGTGATTTCTGAGATTCTGGTGCACCTGAGCAGTGTACACTGTACCCAATGTGTAGTCTTTTATGCCTCATATCCTTCCCACACTTCCCCCAGGTCCCCAAAGTCCTTTGTATCATTCTTATGCCTTTGTGTACTCATAGCTTAGCTCCCACTTATGAGTGAGAACATATACGATGTTTGGTTTTCCATTTCTGGGTTACTTCACTTAAAATAATGGTTTCCAATTCCACCCCAGAGTGTTGCAAATGCCATTATTTCGTTCCTTTTTATGGCTGACTGGTATTCCATGGTATATATGTACCACATTTTCTTTATCCACTTGTTGATTGATGGGCATTTGGGCTGGTTCCATATTTTTGCAATTGCAAATTGTGCTGCTACAAGCATGTGTGTACAAGTGTCTTTTTTGTATAATGACTTTTTTTCATCTGGGTAGATACCAAGGAGTGGAATTGCTACATCAAATGGTAGACTTACTTTTAGTTTTTAAAGAATCTCCACACCTGTTTTCCATGGTTTACATTCTCACCAACAGCATAAAAATGTTGCCTTTTCACCACATCCACTCCAGCATCCAGTATTTTTTTATTACGGCCATTCTTATAGGAGTAAGGTGGTATCTCATTGTGGTTTTGATTTGCATTTCCCTGATAATTAGAGATGTTGAGCATTTTTTCATATGTTTGTTGGCCATTTACATATCATCTTTTGAGAATTGTCTATTCATGTCCTTAGCTCACTTTTTGATGGGATTGTTTGTTTGTTTGTTTCTTGCTGATTTGCTTGAGTTCCTTGTAGATTCTGGATATTAGTCCTTTGTTGGATGTGTAGATTGTGAAGATTTTCTCCCACTCTGTGGGTTATCTATTTACTCTGCCAATTATTTCTGTTGCTGTGCAGAAGCTTTTTAGTTTAGTTAAGTCTCATTTATTTACCTTTGTTTTTGTTCCATTTGCTTTTGCATTCTTGGTCATGAAGTCTTTGCCTAAGCCAAAGTCTAGAAGGGTTTTTCCAATGTTATCTTCTACAATTCTTATGGTTTCAGATCTTAGATTTAAGTCTTTGATCATCTTGACTTGATTTTTGTATAAGATGAGAGATGAGGATCCAGTTTCATTCTTTTGCATGTGGCTTGCCAATTATCCCAGCACCATTTGTTGAATAGGATGTCCTTTCCCCACTTTATGTTTTTGTTTGTTTTGTCGAAGATCAGTTGACTGTAAGTATTTGGGTTTATTTCTGGGTTCTCTATTCTGTTCCATTGGTCTATGTGCCTGTTTTTATACCAGTACCATGCTGTTTTGGTGACTATGGCCTTATAGTATAGTTTCAAGTCAGGTAACGTGATGCCTCCTGATTTGTTCTTTTTGCCCAGTCTTGCTTTGGCTATGTGGACTCTTTGTTGTTTCATATGAATTTCATGATTGTTTTTTCTAGTTCTGTGAAAAATGACTGTGTATTTTGATGGGAATTGCATTGAATTTGTAGATTGTTTTTGGCAGTATGGTCATTTTCACAATATTGATTCTACCCGGCCACGAGCAGGGGTTTTGTTTCCGTTTGTTTGTGTCATCTATGATTTCTTTCAGCAGTGTCTTGTAGTTTTCCTTGTAGAAGTCTTTCACCTTCTTGGTTAAGTATATTCCTCTGTATTGTATTTTTTTTCAAGCTATTGTAAAAGGAGTTGAGTTCTTCATTTGAATCTCAGCTTGGCCGCTGTTGGTGTATAACAGGGCTACTAATTTGTGTACATTAATTTTGTATCCTGAAACTTTGCTGAATTCATTTACCAGTCCTAGGAGCTTTTTGGATGAGTCATTAGAGTTTTCTAGGTACAGGATCATGTCATGAGCAAGCAGCAAGAGTTTGACTAGCTCTGGCTAAGACCATAGTGTCTTTTGATAAGCAGGTGATTTTAATTTTGATAAAGTTCAATTTATCATTTTTTTCTTTTGTGGTTAGCATTTTTTGTGTTCTCTTTAGTGGTGATTTGTGAGATTTTGGTGCACCCTTCACCTAAGCAGTGTACACTGTACCCAATGGGAATTGCATTGAATTAATAGATTTTGCAGAAATCATAATAAATCATTCTATTTTGTTCTAGGTACTTTTGAAGTTTTTGCTTTTTGTGTTTGGGTTTGTGATTCATATTAATTAATGTTTGTATATTATGTAAAGCTGAAGTTGAAGGGTTTTTTTCTCTATTTAGATATTCAGTTGCTTCAATGTCATCTTATGAAGAGAGTTTTCTTTCCTCTTGAATCACTTTGACACTTACTGAAAAATCATTTGAACATCTATGTGTGGGTCTGTTTTCAGACTTGATTTGTTGACTGCTTTGTCTGTCCTCATGCCAATACCATATGGTCTTGATTACTATTGCTTTGTAGTAAGTCTTTAAAATCTGGTAGGGTACATCCTCAGACTTTGCTGTTGTTTTTTTCAAGATTATTTTTGGCTATTCTTGGTTCTTTGCATTTCCATATACATTTTAAAAATAGTTTGTTAATTTCTACCAAAAATTTCTTTTGGAGTTTTGATTGGGATGTCAATGAATATATAGTCCAATTTGGGAAGAACAATCTTAACAATATTGAGTCTCCCAGCCTATAAACATAGCATATTTCTCCGTTTATATAGATCTTCTTTAATTTCTCTCATTTATATTTTTGACTGTTTAGTGTAGAGCTTTACACATCTTTTGTTAAATTTATTTTTGTTTTGTGTTTTTTGGATGCTTTTATGGATAGGATACTTCTATTTGTTTTATATTCCAATTTTTTGCTGGTGCTTTATATAAATAAAATTGAGTTTTGTCTATGGGCCTTGCATCTTTCCACCTTGCTAAATACTTCATTATGTCTGGAGTTTGTTTATTGAGTCCAAAGGCTAATATTTCTCCCACAATACCAGAGGTAAAATAAAAATAATAGAATAAAATGCCTATCTGGGTTTTTCAAATATCAGCCACCTTCGTTTGCCATCATTCAGGACCCACCACAAGGAAGAAGACTGAGGAAGAAAAGCATTATCTAACCTTGATGAAAGTAGGCATTAACCCAATTTATGGAAGATAAATCTGAGGTTAGAAAAGTTAAAGAAGGCTCCACATGGTGACTCACACCTGTAATTCCAGCACTTTGGGAGGCCAAAGCAGAAGAACTGCTTAAAGCCAGGAGTTGGAGACCAGCCTGGGCAACAGAGTGAGACCCTGTCTCTACAAAAAAATTTTTTAAATTAGCTGGGAGTGGTGGTGGTATATGTACCTATAGTCCCAGCTACTCGAGAGGCTGAGGTGGGAGGATCTCTTGAGCCCAGAGGCTGCACTGAGCTATGATTGTGCCACTACACTTCAACCCAGACAATAGCGCAAGACTATGTCTCAAAACAGAAAAGATAAGGAATTTGCCCAAAGTCTCACAACCGTCTCTAGTACATGAACCTAAAACACACTCTTTTTTAAGGTTTATTTTATTTCACTAATAATGTTATAATGAGCACCCATTCCCCCATGCTTGCTCCTAAGACCATCCCATCCATTCTTCCTGGTTTTACCAACTTATTTGGTGTTCCCCTGCATTTAAAATTCCACGTGTAAGGTATATCTGGCTGCTGCTGAATGCCATAATTTGTGTTGTTTGAGAAATGAAGTATTCTTCTTCAGTGATCCATAAAGATGTCCCTGGAGATAATAAGAAAAAGAGGCAGCCATGAAATTAAATAAACAGATGCCCTGATCTTCAAGGAAGTTTAAATCAGTGCTCAAGACGGGAAAATCAAATAAGAATGTAAGAAAAGAAAGCAACCCCAAGAATGAATGCAAGTGAGTGTCTTACTTGTGGAATAGCCAATAAATGGTGTTATTCCCAATTTTACACAAAGATTTTAAGTATTTTGGAGGGAGAAGAAAGAAAGGGATTTAGCCACTTTTGCTAAGACTAAAAGTCATCATGAGGCAGTTTTAAAAACACCAGATCTCAGATCCTGTCACCTGATTTAAATCAATGTCATGGAAGGGATCTATTCTCTCTGACATCACCTATGGCTCCAATTTCCCTAAGTGCTATCACATGTATATTTTAGCCATTTCATGAAATGCATCTGCTAAATCAAGAATAATAGAACAATGCAACTCTGGCACTGTGCAGATGAAATCACTTATGTAAGGTATTTTTTAAACTATACCTCAGAATCTGACTGCTTTATTTATTAAGAGGAAAGTTATGTTGTTTCCAAGAAGTTTGGGAACCAGTTGTAATTTTCTTTTTTTTTTTTTTCTTGAAACAAGGTCTCACTCTGTGTTCCAGGCTGGAGTGCAGTGGAGTGCAATCACAGCCCATGACAGCCTCAACCCCTGAAGGGCTCCTCCCGCCTCAGCCTTCCAAGTAGCTAGGACTACAGGCACATGACACCTGGCTCATCTTAAAAATATTTTGTTGAGATGGGGTTCTCCATGTTGCCCAGGCTGGTCTCAGACTTCTGGGCTCAAGCAACCTTCCTACCTCAGCCTCCCAAAGTGCTGGGATTACAGGCATGACCCATCTCACCGGCCATAATCTTCATTTTTAATCCTCTCAAGTGTTGGAGATTATGAAGTAAAATGAGATCTAACATGCATATACACAAGTAAAATTACAGCCTCAGCCCTCTCACGTATGCTATGGCAAAAAGAAGAATGGAAATAACCATACCTGAGGCTTGGGCCACAGAGTTTCCAAAATGTGACTTAGAGAAGAGGGGATCTACTTTAAAATTATGACCAAAGGGCCAGGTATGATGGCTCACACTTGCAATCCCAGCACTTTAGGAGGCCAAGGCAGGCGGATCTCTTGAGGTCAGGAATTCAAGACCAGCCTGACCAACCTGGTGAAACCCCATCTCTAATAAAAATACAAAAATTAGCCAGGTGTGGTGGAGGGTGCTGTAATCCCAGCTACGCGGGAGGCCAAGGCAGAAAAATCACTTGAAACCAGGAGGCAGAGGTTGCAGTGAGCCGAGATCATGCCACTGCACTCCAGGCTGGACGACAGAGCAAGACTCCGTCATAATTAGAAAAAAAATTATGACCAAAATGAAGAGAACTGAGGTTTGTGATTGCCTGGCCCATTCACAACATGAAGATTTTGGCACAATTGCTGGATTATATTCTTATTCTGTATGTTAAGAAATGATATATTTTATTTCTCACCAGTTGATAAATGGTTAGTTAATGTGGCACATATGTAGATCTTGTATCAAAATAAGTTTGACCTTTAAAAGCCAACTTGCTTTTGGTATAGCCCTTCCAGCAAGCTATGTGGCAACACATTTTAGTCATAAAAATATTCATAGGTGTTGACCATGTAATCTCACTCCTGGCAATTCTCCCTAAAGGAATAATCTCTCCACTATAAAAAGAAATTCTAATCATACAAATATATATTGCAATGTTATTCATAGTAGCAAACATTTAAATCCATTTTCAGTTACAATTAGCGAAACGGTTAAGACATTGTTATAAGAACATGATACAGTCATTAAAAGGGAAGTGTTTACCACAATATTAATAGAAAAAATACAAAATCATATCTACTCTACAATTACATTATTTTTTATTTTCATATACATGGATAAGAAACAGAAAAAAATGAAAATAGCTTATTTGAATAGGTAGTCAGATTATGGGCTTTTTCCTTTTTGATTTAAATTTTTGTTATTTAAAGTTGTAATTTTAGGCCAAGCACAGTGGCTCATGCCTATAATCCCAGCACTTTGGGAGGCTGAAGCAGGCAGCTCACTTGTGGTCAGGAGTTTGAGACCAGCCTGGTCAACATGACAAAACCCTGTCGCTATTAAAAATACAAAAGCTAGCCAGGCGTGGTGGCGCACCTGTAATTCCAGCTACTCAGGAGGCTGAGGCATGAGAATTGCTTGAATGGGGAGACAGAGGTTGCAGTGAGCGAAGATCGTGCCACTGCATTCCAGCCTGGGTGACAGAGTGAGACTGTCTCAAAGCAAAAAAAAAAAAAAAAAGGCATAATTTTAATGAGACTTATGAAGCCATCCACTGACCTTCAGGTGAAGACACTGTATTCAGTTCTCTTATAGCCTAAAGCCCCTTTCCTCAAGTCTGCTGCCTATGATGGTGCTCCCCTGCCCTCCATTCTGATTCAGAAGTTTTCAGCTCTATCAGACCCAATTGCCCCACTAATATCCCAAAATGACATTGACAGATAATAACCTCCCTGCCCACATATTTTTAAAAAATCAACATAATTATTAATTGTATTATAAATGAGAAATAAAAAGAAAGTAAATCAACATATGTATATAAATATATAAATGTTTGGGCATGATTATACTAGGGAAGACCCATTGAAAGTGTCAAAAACTTACCAAGTTAGGTGGATCACTGTGAATTCAAAAGCTACCAATACAGATAGAATGAATTAACATCTCAAATACTATGACTGGTCTTGCCATCAGGGGCTCAACTTTCCAAAGGGTGAACAGCTCTTAGGAACAGTTCAAAACAAATCAAAGTACAGCCTTTCTTCCATTTACATGGTGTCATAAAAGATTCCCTGTACCTAAAACCATGTAAAAATTACATTGTGTTTATATCTAAAAAGAGTTAGTCTCTAGGCTAGTAATTGTTAACCATGATTGCATATTAAAACAGCCCAGGAAGCCTTCAATGCTCCAGATGCATAGGACTCACCCCAGTCAGTTCAATCACACCTTCTGGGAGGGGGACCCATGAACCAGTGTCTTTGCGTCACCTGGAGCTGGTTATATGGGACTCTTAGGCCACATATAAGACCTGAAGAATTAGAATCTTCATTACATAAATATAAGTAGATAGAAAGGATAAGTTATAATATTCAATAATACAGTAGGGAAATTATAATAAATAATAATTTATTGTATATTTCAAAATCACTAGAAGAGAAGAATTGTAATGTTCCCAACACAAAGAGAGGATCAGTGTTGCAGGTAATGGATATCCCAATTACCTGACTTGATCATTCCACATTGTATACATGTATTAAAACACCACATGTACCTCAAAAATATATACATCTATGATATATCCGTTTTAAAAATACAAAAAAAAACCCTTCACTACATGAAGGCTCCCAAGTGGTTCATATGCCTATTAAAGTTTGAGAAACACTGGTCTAGGCTCAGATAATCACACAAAAATGTGCTCCATTAGCCTGAAAATCCAGCAGAACATCCAGGGGCTGTTTGAGATTTGGAAAACTCTTTATGGTGTGGGACTTTCTAATACATGGGGACATCTAGGATTCCTGTCTCCCTACCAATAATTGCCAGTTAGACAATCCCCCCTCCCACAATCATTCTGATAACTGAAAACACCCCAGAACTCTCTAAAAACTTCCTAGGAGTTGGAAGTATTAACCTAGGAAGAATTAACCTAATTTTTTGAAAAGTCAAGTTTACTTTCCTTGCCTTCACTACCAAACTACCTACTCTTCCCTTAATGGTAAAACTGTCACCTCGGGACTCCTAGTTGCAATTTGTTACCATTTCACACTCTCCTTTGCCTCACAGAGTCTCTTCAGATAGAGAGTAGTCATCATTCTGTCCTTTATCCACTCAATAAATATTTATTGAAAGCACTCACAGAGGGTGGAGCAAAGATGGCCAAATAGGAACAGTTCCAGTCTATAGCTCCCAGTGTGAGCGATGCAAAAGACGGGTGATTTCTGCATTTCCAACTGAGGTGCCGAGTTCATCTCACTGGGGAGTGCCAGACAGTGGGTGCAGGACAGTGGGTGCAGTGCACTGTGCGTGAGCTGAAGCAGGGCAAGGCATCGCCTCACCTGGGAAACACAAGAGGTCAGGGAATTCCCTTTCCTAGTCAAAGAAAGGGGTGACAGACGGTGCCTGGAAAATCAGGTCACTCTCACCCTAATACTGCGCTTTTCCAACAGGCTTAACAAAAGGCACACGAGGAGATTATATCTCGCACCTGGCTCGGAAGGTCCTACACCCACAGAGCCTCACTCATTGCTAGCACAGCAGTCTGAGATCAAACTACAAGGCGGCAGCAAGGCTGGGAGAGGGGCGCCCGCCATTGCCAAGGTTTGAGTTGGTAAACAAAGCGGTCTGGAAGCTCGAACTAGGTGGAGCCCACCACAGCTCAAGGAGGCCTGCCTGCCTCAATAGGCTCCACCTCTGGGGACAGGGCACAGACAAATAACCTCTGAAGACTTAAATGTCCCTCTCTGACAGCTTTGAAGAGAGTAGTGGTTCTCCCAGCACGCAGCTTGAGTTCTTAGAACGGGCAGACTGCCTCCTCAAGTGGGTCCCTGACCCCTGAGTGGCCTAACTGGGAGGCACCCCCCAGTAGGGGTGGACTGACACCTCACACGGCTGGGTACTCCTCTGAGACAAAACTTCCAGAGGAATGATCAGGCAGCAGCATTTGCGGTTCACCAATATCTGCTGTTCTGCAGCCACCGCTGCTGATACCCAGGCAAACAGGGTCTGGAGTGGACCTCCAGCAAACTCCAACAGACCTGCAGCTGAGGGTCCTGACTGTTAGAAAGAAAACTAACAAACAGAAAGACCATCCACACCAAAAACCCATCTGTACGTCACCATCATCAAAGAACAAAGGTAGATAAAACCACAAAGATGGGGAAAAAACAGAGCAGAAAAACTGGAAACTCTAAAAATCAGAGTGCCTCTCCTCCTCCAAAGGAATGCAGCTCCTCACCAGCAATGGAACAAAGCTGGATGGAGAATGACTTTGATGAGTTGAGAGAAGAAGACATCAGAAGATCAAACTACTCCGAGCTAAAGGAGAAAGTTTGAACCAATGGCAAAGAAGTTAAAAACCTTGAAAAAAAATTAGACAAATGGATAACTAGAATAACCAATGCAGAGTAGTCCTTAAAGGATCTGATGGAGCTGAAAACCACGGCACGAGAACTACATGACAAATGCACGAGCCTCAGTAGCCAATGCGATCAACTGGAAGAAAGGGTATCAGTGATGGAAGATGAAATGAATGAAGTGAAGTGAGAAGAGAAGTATAAAGAAAAAAGATTAAAAAGAAACGAACAAAGCCTCCAAGAAATATGGGACTATGTGAAAAGACCAAATCTACGTCTGATTGGTGTACCTGAAAGTGACGGGGAGAATGGAACCAAGTTGAAAAACACTCTGCAGGATATTTTCCAGGAGAACTTCCCCAATCTAGCAAGGCAGGCCAACATTCAGATTCAGGAAATACAGAGAACGCCACAAAGATACTCCTTGAGAAGAGCAACTCCAAGACACATAATTGTTAGATTCACCAAAGTTGAAATGAAGGAAAAAATGTTAAGAAGGGCAGCCAGAGAGAAAGATTGGGTTACCCACAAAGGGAAGCCCATCAGACTAACAGCTGATCTCTCAGCAGAAACTCTACAAGCCAGAAGAGAGTGGGGGCCAATATTCAACATTCTTAAAGAAAAGAATTTTCAACCCAGAATTTCATATCAAGACAAAATAAGCTTCATAGGTGAAGGAAAAATAAAATCCTTTACAGACAAGCAAATGCTGAGAGATTTTGTCACCACCAGGCCTTCCCTAAAAGAGCTCCTGAAGGAAGCACTAAACATGGAAAGGAACAACTGATACCAGCCACTGCAAAAACATGCCAAATTGTAAAGATCATCAAGGCTAGGAAGAAACTGCATCAACTAACGAACAAAATAACCAGCTAATATCATAATGACAGGATCAAATTCACACATAACAATATTAACCTTAAATGTAAATGGGCTAAATGCTCCAATTAAAAGACACAGACTGGCAAATTGGATAAAGAGTCAAGACCCATCAGTGTGCTGTATTCAGGAAACCCATCTCACATGCAGAGACACACATAGGCTCAAAATAAAGGGATGGAGGAAGATCTACCAAGCAAATGGAAAACAAAAAAAGTCAGGGGTTGCAATCCTAGTCTCTGATAAAACAGACTTTAAACTAACAAAGATCAAAAGAGACAAAGAAGGCCAAGAATGGTAAAGGGATCAATTCAACAAGAAGAACTAACTATCCTAAATATATATGCACCCAATACAGGAGCACCCAGATTCATAAAGCAAGTCCTTAGTGACCTACAAAGAGACTTAGACTCCCACACAATAATAATGGGAGACTTTAACACCCCACTGTCAACATTAGACAGATCAATGAGACAGAAAGTTAACAAGGATATCCAGGAATTGAACTCAGCTCTGCACCAAGTGGACCTAATAGACATCTACAGAACTCTCCACCCCAAATCAACAGAATATACATTCTTTTCAGCACCACACCACACCTACTCCAAAATTGACCACATAGTTGGAAGTAAAGTGCTCCTCAGCAAATGGAAAAGAACAGAAATTATAACAAACTGTCTCTTAGACCACAGTGCAATCAAACTAGAACTCAGGATTAAGAAACTCACTCAAAACTGCTCAACTACATGGAAACTGAACAACCTGCTCCTTAATGACTACTGGGTACATAACAAAATGAAGGCAGAAATAAAGATGTTCTTTGAAACCAATGAGAACAAAGACACAACTTACCAGAATCTCTGGGACACATTCAAAGCAGTGTGTAGAGGGAAATTTATAGCATAAATGCCCACAAGAGAAAGCAGGAAAGATCCAAAATTGACACCCTAACATCACAATTAAAGGAAGTAGAGAAGCAAGAGCAAACACATTCAAGAGCTGGCAGAAGGCAAGAAATAACTAAGATCAGAACAGAACTGAAGGAAATAGAGACACAAAAAAACCCTTCAAAAAAATCAATGAATCCAGGAGCTGGTTTTTTGAAAAGATCAATAAAATTGAAAGACTGCTAGCAAGACTAATAAAGAAGAAAAGAGAGAAGAAACAAAAAGACACAATGAAAAATGACAAAGGGGATATCACCACTGATCCCACAGAAATACAAACTACCATCAGAGAATACTATAAACACCTCTACACAAATAAACTAGAAAATCTAGAAGGAATGGATAAATTTCTCAACACATACACCCTCCCAAGACTAAACCAGGAAGAAGTTGAATCTCTGAATAGACCAATAACAGGATCTGAAATTGAGGCAGTGATTAATAGCTTACCAACCAAAAAAAGGCCAGGACCAGATGGATTCACAGCCAAATTCTACCAGGAGTACAAGGAGGAGCTGGTACCATTCCTTCTGAAACTATTACAATCAATAGAAAAAGAGGGAATCCTCCCTAACTCATTTTATGAGGCCAGCATCATCCTGATACCAAAGCCTGGCAGAGACACAACAAAAAAAGAGAATTTTAGACCAAGATCCTTGATGAACATTGATGCAAAAATCCTCAGTAAAATACTGGCAAACCGAATCCAGCAGCACATCAAAAAGCTTATCCACCATGATCAAGTGGGCTTCATCCCTGGGATGCAAGGCTGGTTCAACATACGAAAATCAGTAAATGTAATCCAGCGTATAAACAGAACCAATGACAAAAACCACATGATTATCTCAATAGATGCAGAAAAGACCTTTGACAAAATTCAACAACGCTTCATGCTAAAAACTCTCAATAAATTAGATATTGATGGGACATATCTCAAAATAATAAGAACTATCTATGACAAACCCACAGCCAATATCATACTGAATGGGCAAAAACTGGAAGCATTCCCTTTGAAAAAAGGGACAAGACAGGGATACCCTCTCTCACCACTCGTATTCAACATAGTATTGGAAGTTCTGGCCAGGGCAATCAGGCAGGAGAAGGAAATAAAGGGCATTCAATTAGGAAAAGAGGAAGTCAAATTGTCCCTGTTTGCAGATGACATGATTGTATACCTAGAAAACCCCATCGTCTCAGCCCAAAATCTCCTTAAGCTGATAAGCAATTTCAGCAAAGTCTCAGGATACAAAACCAATGTGCAAAAATCACAAGCATTCTTATACACCAACAACAGGCAAACAGAGAGCCAAATCATGAGTGAACTCCCATTCACAATTGCTTCAAAGAGAATAAAATACTTAGGAATCCAACTTACAAGGGATGTGAAGGACTTCTTCAAGGAGAACTACAAACCACTGCTCAAGGAAATAAAAGAGGATACAAACAAATGGAAGAACATTCCATGCTCATGGCTAGGAAGAATCAGTATTGTGAAAATGGCCACACTGCCCAAGGTAATTTATAGATTCAATGCCATCCCCATCAAGCTACCAATGACTTTCTTCATAGAATTGGAAAAAACTACTTTAAAGTTCATATGGAACCAAAAAAGAGCCCGCATTCCCAAGTCAATCCTAAGCCAAAAGAACAAAGCTGGAGGCATCACCCTACCTGACTTCAAACTATACTACAAGGCTACAGTAACCAAAACAGCATGGTACTGGTATCAAAACAGAGATATAGACCAATGGAACAGAACAGAGCCCTCAGAAATAACGCCGCATATCTACAACTATCTGATCTTTGACAAACCTGACAAAAACAAGCAATGGGGAAAGGATTCCCTATTTAATAAATGGTGCTGGGAAAACTGGCTAGCCATATGGAGAAAGCTGAAACTGGATCCCTTCCTTACACCTTATACAAAAATTAAGTCAAGATGGATTAAAGACTTACATGTTAGGCCTAAAACCATAAAAACCCTAGAAGAAAACCTAGGCAATACCACTCAGGACATAGGCATGGGCAAGGACTTCATGTCTAAAACACCAAAAGCAATGGCACAAAAGACAAAATTGACAAATGGGATCTAATTAAACTAAAGAGCTTCTGCATAGCAAAAGAAACCACCATCAGAGTGAACAGGCAACCTACAGAATGGGAGAAAATTTTTGCAACCTACTCATCTGACAAAGGACTAATATCCAGAATCTACAATGAACTCAAACAAATTTACAAGAAAAAAACAAACAACCCCATCAACAAGTGAGTGAAGGACATGAACAGACACTTCTCAAAAGAAGACATTTATGCAGCCAAAAGACACATGAAAAAATGCTCATCATCACTGGCCATCAGAGAAATGCAAATCAAAACCACAATGAGAGACCATCTCACACCAGTTAGAATGGCAATCATTAAAATGTCAGGAAACAACAGGTGCTGGAGAGGATGTGGAGAAATAGGAACACTTTTACACTGTTGGTGGGACTGTAAACTAGTTCAACCATTGTGGAAGTCAGTGTGGCGATTCCTCAGGGATCTAAAACTAGAAATACCATTTGACCCAGCCATCCCATTGGTGGGTATATACCCAAAGGGTTACAAATCATGCTGCTATAAAGACACATGCACATGTATGTTCATTGCAGCACTATTCACAATAGCAAAGACTTGGAACCAACCCAAATGTCCAACAATGATAGACTGGATTAAGAAAATGTGGCACATATAGGCCATGGAATACTATGCAGCCATAAAAATGTATGAGTTCATGTCCTTTGTAGGGACATGGATGAAACTGGAAACCATCATTCTCAGCAAACTATCGCAAGGACAAAAAACCAAACACCGCATGTTCTCACTCATAGGTGGGAATTGAACAATGAGAATACATGGACACAGGAAGGGGAACATCACTCACTGGGGCCTGTTGTGGGGTGGGGGGAGGCGGGAAGGATAGCATTAGGAGATATACCTAATGCTAAATGACGAGTTAATGGGTGCAGCACACCAACATGGCACATGTATACATATGTCACAAACCTGCATGTTGTGCACATGTACCCTAAAACTTAAAGTACAATAACATAATAAAATTTTAAAAAGCACTCATAAATGTTTATTGTTATTGAGTTAATATTATTCACTCAACACATATTTTATTTATGCAAAGCACTACTCTAGATTTAAAAAACTGATTAAGACCCAATTCAATTGTGCCTTATCTAAGAGGGAAAAGCCATGTGCTAGATACTGTAATATGATGAAATATGAGTCATAATAAAAATGCATTTTAAAACTTACATGGAAGAAAAAGAGGAGAGCGTAACAACATATTCATAATTAGCTATATCTGGTAATACAGAATTAAACTGAGAAGTTTGAGAACTTTCCTTTTCTCAAAAAAATGGATTTTTTTTGACACTAGTGTAGTGTTTGATAAATCAGACACTACAAATTTTGCGTACTAATTTGCAAAGTAGCAAAATTTTTCTGTATAAACAATGCAACACTAAAGCCATTCCAATCAAATAAATAATTTTGCAGACTTAATTAGTGGAACCCAGATTAATAAAACTTGCTTTATTCTAGCTCTAGAGCTCTGATAAATAATTTCTCTTTAAACAGCAAAACATGGATATTGGTGATCAAACCAGTAGTAAAAACGTTTTAAAGGCACACTGTATTAGTCCATCCTCACATTGCAGTAAAGAACTACCTGAGACTGGATGGTTTGTAAAGAAAAGAGGTTTAATTTACTCACAGTTCCACAGGAGGCATGGCTGGGGATGCCTTGGGAAACTTATAATCATGGCAGAAGGTGAAGGAGAAGCAGGTACAATTTTCACATGGCAGAGCAAGAGAGAGAGTGAAGGAGGAGGTGCTACATACTTTTAAACAACTAGATTTCATGAGAACTCACTCACTATCACGAGAACAGCAAGGTGGAAATCTGCCCCCATGATCCAATCACCTCACACCAGGTCCCTCCCCCAAAACTGGGGATTACAATTCAACATGAGATTTGGGTGGGGACACAGAGCCAAACCATATCAGACTCTTTAGAGTGTTCTGCTTCTAGCTGAGTCACAGCTAAACTACTAAAAATTTCATGCAGAATTCAAGACTTCATATATGTAATGATTCTAGAACCTAATCCTGATAGTTCATGTCAAGAACATTCTGAGTCAAAAACAAACATTCTCTTTAAAAATTGAGGTATTAAGATTAAAAATATTCTCCAGAGGATGTATGGCTTAAAATTTCAAGTCTCTGTATTTCCCATTGTAATTAAGTTAATTTGAGACTTAAGCTGGGACTATAGGCACATGCCACCATGCCTGACTAATTTTTTAAATTTGTGTAGAGATTGCCCACATTAGCCTTGAACTCTTGGCATCAACTGATCCTTCTGCCTTGGCCTTTCAAAGTACTAAGATCATAGGCCTAAGCCACTGTGCCTGGCCAGCACATTAATTTTTTTATCAACACTTCACATATTTCCAGCATAGGAAGAGAAACACAAAACCTCAACAGGACACTTTTCCCCGGACAATGACTAAAAAAATAGATGTTTACTTAACATAATGATTGAAAGTAAGGATATATTGGTAATACATGTGCTTAATCAGTTTTATTTTGTATGATAGTTTTCTATTTCTACCTTACTTGTTTCCCTTCTGTCTATTTTTTGATGTGTATGTATGGATGTATTAAAGTATTTCTTTCAAAACTCCTTTGAGAATATCTGGAGTTAGCCCACCGCTGTGTCTCTTCAAGATGAGACTTTCCATCACTTTCTATATGTTCGTTGGTCTTATAGTGTTAAATGTTTTTCTTATATTCAAGTAAGTGTTAAAGTAATAATGTAATGCAGTTATATATTTTTTAATATTTTATTTCCATAGGTTTTGGGGGAACAGGTTGTGTTTGTTTACATGTGTTTGTTTACGGTGGTTTCTGAGATTTTGGTGCACCCATTACCCAAGCAATATACACTGAACCCAATTTGTAGTCTTTTATACTTCACCCCCTTCCCATCCTTTCCCCCTGAGTCCCCAAAGTCCATTGTGTCATTCTTATCCCTTTGCATCCTCATAGCTTAGTTCCCATTTAAGAGTGAGAACATACAATGTTTGATTTTCCATTCCTGAGTTACTTCACTTACAATAATAGTCTCCCATCTCATCCAGGTCACTGCAAATGCTGTTAATTCATTCCTTTTTATGGCTGAGTAGTATTCCATTGTGTGTATATATATATATATATATAGATCAGTTTCTGATCAATATATATATAGATATATATATGCATTTATATATATTGATATTGATATATATATGCATTTTTAGTCATTGTCTGGGGAAAAGTGTCCTGTTGAGGCTTTGTGTTTCTCTTCCTATGCTGGAAATACGTGAAGTGTTGATAAAAAAATTAATGTGCTGGCCAGGCACAGTGGCTTAGGCCTATGATCCTAGTACTTTGAAAGGCCAAAGCAGAAGGATCAGTTGATGCCAGGAGTTCAAGACTAATGTGGGCAATATATATATATTTATATATATATATCAGTTTCTTTATCCACTTGTTGATTGATGGGCATTTGGGTTGGTTCCTCATTTTTGCAATTGTGAATTGTGCTGCTATAAACATGTGTGTGCAACTATCTTTTTCATATAATGACTTCTTTTCTTCTGGGTAGATACCTAGTAGTGGGATTGCTGGATCAAATGGTAGTTCTACCTTCAGTTCCTTAAGGAATCTCCACACTGTTTTCCATAGTGGTTGTATTAGTTTACATTCCAAGCAGCAGTGTAGAAGTGTTTCCCTTTCACCGTATCCACACCAACATCTACTGTTTTTTGGTTTTTTGATTATGGCCATTCTTGCAGGAGTAAAGTGATATCAAATTGTGGTTTTGATTTGCATTTCCCTGATCATTATAAATTTTTTAAACCAGTTTCCATGTGGAATGTTTCATGTGTAGCAATCTTACCACATCTGAGTCTTCAATGAGAAGAGTTGGTCTCATGAATCACCATTCTTTGAGGAAAACATAAATGCCTAGTCTTGAGAGTGGCAGAAAACATAGCCCCAAGAGGGTAATATTGGCATAGGATTAAAAGACAAAGACATGTCTTTGGGCTATAAATTGAAGATTTTTTTCATTTATGGAGAAAAACAATTTCTTATCTCCTACATTTACCGAGAGGAGTACCAGAACCATAAAATCAAATTAAAAGTTAGAAATCTTTTTTGATTATATCACTGATAATTTATATATGATAGCTGTAGGATCTTCTGGATTCAACAAACATATGAGATAGCCTTGACATTTATCTGAAGGGTTTGGTGTAGTTTCAATGTAGGAATCTGATTCCTATAGTACTCCAGGAACAAATGAAACTACAACAAACCCTTCAGATTAACTCAAAATCACATAACTGAGAAGGCTTGTGCTGGGAAAAGAGCCTGGATCTTAAAATTTTCCCACTTCTTTTTTTTTTTTGAGTCCTGAAAATATATTACTGCTTGATGACTGCCTTATTTTTTATTCAAAGTTAATGATCTCAGAGGAAACCTCTCCAAAGTGCTTCTACAATATTCCTAAGTCATATGACCAACCAGACATTTTGTCAATCCAGAGACACTGTCTGCAACAGAGCAGGCACTCAGTATGTCTTTGTCAAGTCAATAAATGAATGACCAGTGGGTTAAAAGTGAAAAAAAGCAGAAAAAAAATCTTGTGGCACGTGTGTGTGTGTGTGTGTGTATACAAACATAAAGACTCAAAAAATCAACTCATAGGCAAATAGTTTTCAAAAATGCTGCAATAATAGCCTTCACAAGGCTGATGGTCATGTAAAGTGCCTCTCCCTTGTGGAAATTGTCCCCAAAATATAGCATCAGTCCAAGGTAAAAACCACCTGATCATTTGGAAACTTTTGAGGAATCTGCAAGGGGAACAGAAATGTGTCATTTCTACCCTAGAGGGAAATTAGGCCACTGGGAAGGAGAAGCAATGCCCTCCTGTGAGAAGCCCTGTGACCCTATACAACCTCCCAGCTGCCCAGGAAGCAAAGCCAACATGTGGATCTCAACCTCAAATGCCATGATGAGAGAGAAAATCTAGAATGTGGCATCTGAGTCCCATAGCCAGAGACACACCCTGTTTTGGGTCACAGCTGTCCATGCTGTTCTTGGATGGGAGGGACAAGGAGGAGGCCAACTGAGAGTAAAGTCAGAAGACTTTGGCTCAGGTCATAGGAATGAATTTGTTGGCTGAACAATATCTAAACAAATTGATCTGTCCTAGAATTAATTTATTTTAAACTAGAACTTCATTTGATGCATTTGATGACCCCTTGTTCTTATTTTTTCCAACACGCCACATAGCTTGGGGTAATTCACATTTACTGACCCTTACTTAACATTCACTTGGAAGTTACTGATTATAAAGGAACCAAATCAAGAGTTAGAGAACACCAGGCTCACCAAAACCCAATAATAGGCCTTTTACTTAGTTTGTTATAAACATGCTATTTATTTTGAAATGAAGAAAGGAAAATTTTCAGCACCCACCAGTTTATTTCCCATGCTTTTTTATGTTCCTGAACACTCAGTTAATTGCATTCCTGAGAAGGTGACATTTCTCGGGCACAGAAACAATGATATCCACAGCTATTTCCCCAACCACGTTTACTACCTGGAGCAAAGAATGTCCAGTTGATGCTCAAGGGAATGTGTTTCACCTGAGATCCCCTTAGATTGAATGCATTTGTTTTATGCTGTTTATGTTGAGCAAAAGTCTGTTGGATATTTAAGTCAGTAAATCTAAAGCAAATTGTGTTCTGCTAGTCTAACACTTGGCTTTGAGTAATTCACCCGCATGAAAGTAAGGAAACCTGTGTGCCAACAGGGGCTCTAGTATCCATAATTGGTATGTTGTTATGTTGCTTTATTAAAAAGGAAAATGAAAAACGAACACACTCATGTTAGCATTTTGCCTTACAAAGCTCTTGCAAAAGTTTTCCATTTTGAATGTGCAATTAAATCATAGTAGAAAGTAATACTTATAAAACAAATTAATAAATTCACTGTCATGGGAAATTATGCTGAAAACTTTTATTAGACTGATCAGTTCTTCAGTTCTCTTAAATCCATTGTGTAGATTAAAATGCACTCAGAAGATTGTGTAGATTTTATCAACCCAATACCAAGGTCCTAGTGGTTTCCTTAGAACAATGGATTATGGCCCAGGGTGGGAAGGCCTTAGAACTGAAATTTAGAGAAATATTACTTAAATCATAGTTAAACTTTTAGCAAATAATATCAGATAGGCATCATTAGGAATCTTTAAGGCTGTGGTTCTCAACCTTAGCCACGCACTATATAATCACCTGGTGAGCTTTTAAAATCCAAGACAGCTAGGCCCTGACCAATAAAATCAGAATCTCCAGGATCTGGCAGGAGCATTTCTAAAAGCAAGTGATTACTTTAACCTGAGAAAGCTGATGGCAAAAAAATAAAATAAAATAAAATAAAAGCAAGTGATTCCAATGGAACACTTAAGATTGAGAACTCTGCTTTAGAGAAGAAAATGGAACTCCACCCCCTCAATAATTCTTAGAATGTATAGAATGTTTCGTCTAAATGGCCAAAACATATGTCATTCACTTGTCCCATGATGCAGATTACCTAAGCAGATCATATATCCGTCTTGTGGTTCGGTGTTCCACCATTCATAAGTAGTAACCCTCACAATCAATTCACCTCAGAGATGACTGAGATAATCAGAGAGGTATGTTTTTCTCAGCTATATTATTTTCCCTAACACTTATTGTAAATGTATTACATTTCATACATTTCAAGTCTGATCCTTCTACTGTATAGTTCCAAAAAATATTTTTAAATTTACAAACCAAGTTAATTTCAATTCACCCCGTTTGGCATTATATTTGCCCTCTATTTCATATCATACATAAATTAAATTTTATATAGATTAGAAACTCCAAAGTAAAATACAATTATGAAAAGTCCAGAACTTTTGGAGAATATCTAAGCAATTTCAGGATGAGGAGATCTTTTCAAGCATGGTAATAAAGCCAGAAACCATAAGAGTAATATGAACTGATACTACACAATGATGTAAAACTTCTTTATTTAAAACTTCATAAATAAAAGCTGAAAGACAAGTGAAAAACAGGGGATGAATATTTGCAGTATATATAGCAGATGAAGAGTTAATATCCTTAAGAGTTCAATGTTTTTACAAACTAAAAAGGCAAAGATTACCAACCCAGTAGAAAAACACGTAAAGTCTCCAAATAAACTATTCACAAAGAAGCATAAACAACCAAACTAGATGAAGAGATATTCGATCTCAGCGAGAAAAAAGAAATTGAAATTGAAATAATGAAGAAATGTTTGAGTACTTATCTGATTGCCATGATTTGATTAAGTCAGTGATTTCAATGGTGTGGGAAACAGACACTTTAATGCACTACCGGAGTCCGATCTTTCAGCTGAGAATAGTTTGAAAATACGTACTATAATTTTTAAATACACTTTGACTCAACAATCCTGTCTAGGGGTTTATCCTGAGAAAACAGAACATGTAGGCAAACATGAACAAATTAGGATATTCACTGGAGCATTCTTTATAATATCAAAAATATGGAAGCAACCTCATTATTCATCAATAGGAACTTGGCTAAATTAATGTGCTTCATCTTTATTAGAGAAAATTGTAAAGGGATGAAGTTGGTCTTTATCTACTGACAAGAGATGATGCCATCAATATATTGCTATTTTTTAAAAGCCGATTTCAGAACAACGTATGTAATTTCATCTTACTTAATGTAAAAAATGTTTATTTAAATTTAAAAGTCTAGAAAGGTATATACAAATTACTAATCGTTGTTATCTTTAGGAGAAGTGGCAGATGGAACAAGTAAGAACTTTTGACTCTACACATTTCTAAGTTGCTTGAAAAAAATTCATACATTAACAATCACCAAACACAAAAAAAGCTGCTTCCGTTTTGGAAAAACAAAACAAATACCTCCTGTCTGTGATACTCTAGGCCACGTGCCTGCGTTTGCACACTCCCAAGAATACGTGGGCCCCTTTGAAAGGAAGTAGACCCTTCAAACAGCCTCACTATGGGGCCTACAAGCTTAAGGGCTGAGCCTGACAAAGGCTGATGCAGTTTATGGAATTATTTCAAGCAAGTGTCTTTTGAGCTCCTTCTCTACGCTGTGTTCAGCTGTTAATTAATTATATAAAATTCATGGTTAGTAATTTTTGCATTACAAAGCGAACCAGTTGTATATAATTGGCTTAAAAAGGATACTAACATTATTTTTTCTTTTCCAGCCTTCACTAATTACGAGAACATAAAGTATCTTCCCAGTGAATAGGTAAATGAATGAATGAACAAATCAAGGAAATCTATGCTGACTATAATGAGATCTTAATTTTTTGATGGGGAAATAACTGATCCATTTTAATCTTCGATTATCCTTTATAAGGACTTTTTTCTGCCACCAAGTAAAAAAAGATAATAATTTGGCTCAGACTAGTCAAAAATATTAGTGAATATCAGAACCATAAAACTGTATTCTCCAAAAGACTTTAGTTCCTTGGTCATCATGGTAACACACGTGAAACAACCACACGTTGTTTTAGTAAGTTGACAGACATGGTCATTTCCTTCCAAGAGTTTGGTCTCTAAAATGTGATCACAGTCAATAAACTTATAGCCATACATCAAGAAACCTATTTGAACTCCAAGAGATGACTACAGGGCCAGTTTATCAAGAAGCAGACTATCTTGCAGGCATGCAATCATGCACACACAGACACACACATATATTTTTAAAAGCCAAGATGTGGGACACACCTCTTGAGCAATGCTTTGAAAATGAAAACCCTAGATGTTCCATTTTACAAATGTGCACATTGCTAGAGTGAAATAAGATTCTGCTAAGGGTAAAATGATATCAGGATTGGCAGGGATGTGTGGGCAGGGGTGGGGTGTGATGGGAGCCCTAAGGGAAGTTAACTCAATAAATGTTGAGTTTATAAGTATATCCCAGGGTTAAGGACTCCATTTGTCCAGAAGAAAGAGAATCAGCTGCTGTGTTTGGACATTGGCTATTAAATGGCATAGATCCTGTTTAAGCAAATACCAAAATTGCCTGCCTCCCTAAAGTAGTCATATTCTAATAATACATGAGCACCATTGAATTAAAGATGCACCTTAATTACATTAATATCAAATTTCAATTTTTCAATTTTCACTACTTCTCCTTCAAAGTTAGTTTTTCCTCAACAAGCTAAGGACCCTGATCTAATCATGTTCATCAAGGTGCTGGTGCTTTTCTCCAGTACATGTTGAACATGTGGAAAATGATTATAAAAATCATAAGCATCACCAACCTGAACAAAAAAAGTTTTATAACAGATTTCTGTTATAAAGATAGGATGAGGCTTGAGCAGGGTTTTTATTTCCTACCTTCATTTTAGTAGTTGATCTACTATCATCTTTTAAATAAATTTTTTTTTACTTTGAAATAATTTCTAACTCACAGAAAACTTGCAAGTGAGTTCCAAAATATCCTTTATCCAGATTCACCAGTTGTTAAGATTATGCTACATTTGCAATGTTAATCTCTTGCTATCTCCAAATATATATTAAAATATAGCTTGCATACATCTAATACATCAAAAAATCAAGGCCTCATTATAGACAGCATAGATTGCATTTGCTCCTTTTTTATTATTATTATATGTGTCTCTCCTAAGAACATGAATATTGAATATTGCCTTCATTATCTTACATAATCTCAATCAGTTATTAAATTCAAAAAATTTAGCATTGATATAATACTTTTACCTAATCTGCCATTCTTATCTTAATATTTTCCATTATCTCCATAATGTCCTTTTTACGTTCTTCCCCTCCTGCCCAGGATAACATGTTACTTAGTCGTTATTTAGTCTTTAGTCTTCTTTAATCTAGAACAATTTCCCAGCCTTTTTAAAATGCTTAATGACACAGATATTTTTAAAGAATACAAGCCAGTTATTTTTGAGAATACGCCTCAATTTAAAAATGCAGTTCTGCTGTTACCTTAGTTTAAGTGCTGTTTTTAAGAAGTCTGATGGCAGCCTAATTTTCTTAATCTTATAACTAACCCGATGTGTTTTGCTTGATCTTTTCTTTATCTTTAAAGATTGATAGTTTTTATCACAAGGACAAAAAACCGAACACCACATGTTCTCATTCATAGGTGGGAACTGAACAATGAGAACACTTGGATTCAGGAAGGGGCCTGTTGTGGGGTGGGAGGAGGGGGAAGGGATAGCATTAGGAGATATAGCTATTGTAAATGAGGAGTTAATGGGTGCAGCACAACAACATGGCACATGTATACATATGTAACAAAACTGCACGTTGCGCACATGTACCCTAGAACTTAAAGTATAACAAAAAATATATATATATATATAGAAAAAAAAGAAAATTGAGAGGCCAATTCTATTTGAGGTTGCCAAATATAGTAGGCGCCTATCTTACTAGCTATTTTCCAGGCATGGTGCCTGTAAGGACACCACCTTTGTCCAGAAATCCATGACCTCTTGTTAGGAACTCACCTACTTCTAACCTGGAGTCATTTGTACTGCTGAGCCTTTCCTGAGACTTTGGCAAGGCTGACTCTTTTTATAATTCTAACCTCTGCATTTATATATTCTTATCTTTATCTTTGTTCTTACCTCTATAAAATGAGGATGGTTATATTTCCTTGCCCATCTCCATGGTTGATGGATGAAAGTTATTTCATGAAGCGATTGTAGTATTTTATCTGTGACGTAAATTTTTATGTGATTGTGTGACAGGTCATATTTCCCCATTTTCCTTTATTGTTGTGGATAGAGTTTTATTTAAAGAGTCAATAAAATGTTTTTCTTTTAAATACAAAAAAATAAACATTGATAGTTTTAGTCTTTCTATATTTGATCTCTTGTTTGTCTTTGTTTTAAGCTGGCTTTTAGGAAGAGATGCATTTTGTTCTTGTTGTTTTAGTGTCTCTTATAGTCTCTTTCCATTCTCTTTTTTTCTATCTAACATTTTACTATCTGGTCTATAATTTTTAGTTTTTAATTTTTGTGGGTACATAGTGGGTGTATATATTTATGGAGCACACGAGATGTTTTGAATGCCTAATAATAACATCATGGAGAATGGGGTATCCATCCCTTCAAGCATTTTTCCTTTGTGTTACGAACAATCCAATTATACTCTTTTAGTTATTTCAAAATGTACAATTAAATTATTATTGACTGCAGTCACCCTGTTTTTTTTCAAATAGTAGGTCTTTATTCAGTCTAACTTTTTTTGTACCCATTAACCATCTCTACCTCTCTTCCATCCCCCCACTATGCTTCCCTGCGTCTGGTAACCATCCTTCTACTCTCTATGTCCACAAGTTCAACTGTTTTGATTTTTAAATCCCACAAATAAGTGAGAACACGTGATGTTTGTCTTTCTGTGTCTGGCTTATTTTTCTTAACATAATGATCTCCAGTTCCATCCATGCTGTTGCAAATGACAGGATCTCATTATTTTTATGGCTGAATAGTACTCCGTTATGTATATGTACATTTTCTTTGTGATCTATAATTTTTAAATAGTATTTTTTGACTACCACATATTACTTATACAGCAGGCAATTATTTTTTCCACTCTCTTATTTCTGACTTCCTTCTCTTCCTGCTTTTAGGTGCATTCTTTCTACTCTATCAGTATGTATAAATAATGTTTACATATTATTCTTCTACCCATATGATCACTCTTGTTTTAGTCTTGATCTACAATTAATTGTATTAAATGCTCAATGTCTATACTTTGGACTTAATTTTCTCCATTTTGCTTCCTTCTTTTCTCCTATTGTCATGTTTTTGAAGGACATCACGCCTTCTCTAGCTCCTTTTACCCTAGTAGCAATGCTTTTCCAGGGCTTCCAACTCTGGTCCTCTCCCTTTCATGCCCCTTCCCTGTAGGCCATGCTACAAATTACCAAGTCTCAGGCCTTTGTTCAGAATATTGGCACTGGTTTGGTTTTCACCTTCTGGATGTAATTTTGTTTGTGCTTCGCATACATCCTAAGCTCTCCTCTTCTCTTTCTTGTAGTCTCTCAAGCCTTCCTGCTTTCGCTCTCCATATCCACAGGCTTACAGCTATGGCAAAACATTTATTGGAATCTCAGCACTTTGGGAGAATATGGGAGATATTCAAAGGCACAGAAATGCCAATTACTAGAGAAATAAGATTGACTAGAGGTAGAATTATTTTATATTTTAAAAAATCATGGCATAGAATGCAAAATTTACATAATGTTTAAATAAAATAAAATTTGTAGAAATGTCTCTCTTCTGGCAGCCACTTAGGACAATTGTCCTGGTTTCTCCAGGAGCACATGTTTATTTTCCCCTCCATTAGGAATATTCAGTGAAAAAGTGTGAGAAGCACTGAAATAAGATACACTGTCTATTTTCATGCCCTCTACAAAGTTGAGAAGCCTCTATGTTCATCCAGCCATTGGTGAAAATGCTGAATAAAATAGGGTAAAGGCACGCTACTAGAGACTATAAAGCCATTAATAGACACTCTTGAAAAGAGACAATCCCATATTGCTCCATCACGGTGATACCAATTGCTAGCTGTTTCAATTTGATTTTCAAGAAATCCGTTGATCTATGTGCTTAGTATCCTCATAAAAAATAAATCAGATGAGTGTATCAAACTTGTCCTTACTTCACATTTGTTGGTTACTAATGACCTTAACATTCATTTCTGAATGCTCAAAAACTAGAGCATTTTTAACAATCTGTTGTTAAATCTGCAAATATGAATCAAGTTGTCTATAATTTCCTGAATCCTTTCTGTTCCTCTCTTAAAAATAAACATGAAATGTACCCATCTGTGGTCTTGTGGCACCTCTCCTATTTGCCATGACTTTTCAAAGACTACCAAACAGTTTATAGCTGGAAATTCTATTTGCACCCTGGTACATAATTTATCTGGTCTCATTTTAAACATCTTGGAGTTAGCTTGCCAATCCCTCTTTTATCTTGGGCTGCAATTTCTACTTTTCATAGTTTATTCTCCATATTCAATTTAAACCCCAATCTAGAAAAGAGAGGAGAAAAAAAAAGAATTGAATGATGCTGTCTTGTCTCTGATATACCTTCTGCTATCATCTCTAAGAAGTAGACTTATTTCCTTGTTCTTTTTGAAATCATGGATTGACAAATTGTAATTGTGTGTGTGTGTGTGTGTGTATATACACACACATATACCTTGTGTGTATATATATACATATACCTTGTGTGTGTGTATATACATACACATATATACCTTGTGTGTGTGTATATATGTATTTACCTTGTGTGTGTGTATGTATGTGTGTGTGTTTATATATATATATATACACATATATATATACACATATGTATATATATATACAGGGTACAAAGTAATGTTATGACATATGTATACAACATGAAATGACTAAATCAAGCTAATTAATATATCCATCACTTCAATACTTATCTTTTTTGTGGCAAGAACATTTAAAATATATTGTCTTAGCAATTTTGAAATATACATTATTATTAAATATAGTTACCATGCTATACACTATATCTAAAATAATTCCTTCCTCCTGTTTAACTGAAACTTTGTACCCTTATGAGCTCCCTTAGCTTATGGTAATGAGCTCTCTTAGCTTTTCTTTGTCTAGGAAAGCTTTTATTTCTCCCTCATTTCTGCTGAGAAATCCACTGACATTGAGACTACCTTGTATGTGATATGTTTATCTTGTGCTGCTCTCAGAATTTTTAATTAGTCTTTGATTTTTGATAGTTTGATTATTACATGTCTTGGTTAACTCTTCTTTGAGTTGAAATTGATTGCAAACTCCTGCACTTACTGTACCTAGGTATCTTTTCTCCCAAATTTGGGGAGTTTTCAGGCACCATTTCTTTAAATATGCTTTCTGACACTTTTTTTCTCTCTTCTTCTTGAATTCCTATTATATGCATGTTAGTTCTATTGATGGTGTTGCATAATTCCTGTAGGCATTCTTTATTCTTTTTTCTCCTCTGACTGAATAATTTAAAATGTTCTGTCTTTGAGATCACTGGTTCTTTATCTTGACTGAGTCTGCTGATGAAGTTTTCTATGCAGTGTTTTCAGTCCAGTAATTGTATTCCTCATCTCTAGGATTTCTAATTTTTTTAAAAGTACCTATTTCTTTATTTTTTTGTCAAACATCTCATTTTGTTCATGTTTGTTTTCTAAATTTCATTTAATTTTCTGTCAATATATTTGTGTAGTTCACTGAGCTTCTTTAAAAGAATTATTCTGAGTTCTCTGTCAGTCATTTTATAGAACTCCCTTATTTTATGGTCCATCATTGGAGCTTTATTAGTTTCTTTTGGAGGTGTCATGATTTTCTGATTCTTCATAATCCTTGTGTCCTGGGTTGGTGTCTGTGTATTTGAGGAGACAGCCACCTCTTACAGTCTACAGGTGTTCTTTGGCAGGGATAGACTTTCACTATTTAGTCTACCCTGTGATTCTGGATAGATCAGCTAGTAATGGCCACAGTAGGTAGAGTTGCTGTTGGGTTCTCTGGTTGGTTGGGCCACTGCCGTTGCTCTGAGGTTGTCTGAGACTGCTGGCTGGGCTCTGCTGTGAAGTGAGACCACTGGCTGGGCTCTGCTATCAGGTGAAGCTGATGGCCAAGCAACATGATGGTCCCTGATCAGCCAGGTAACAGGGTATATCCCTGGCTGGGTGGTATCACTGTTTGGGTTCCACAGCTGGGCAGGGCTGCAGGCTGGGTTTTGATGCTAGCAGAGTTGCCATTCGGGACAAATGGGATCAGAGGCTATACTCCATAGAAATGCACAGTTGAGGCTTGTTGCCCTGCCTGGGTGGTGCCTTGATGTGGGCTCTGGGGCCAGATCAAGCCACTTTTTGGCCTCCCATGTCAGGCAGGTTTGGCACCTGTGCTTTGAAGAAATGCAATGTTGTGGGCATCTCCCTGAGTAGGCAGGGCCTTGAAATAGGCTCTGAGGCTGGTCGTGGATGCTGGATGTCTAGAGTCTAAAGCCAGCTTGAACTTCCCACCATGATTCTGGGAGTGATCAGTCCAGCTTTGGACTTGGGCTGTGCTGTTGGCTGGTATCTCTGACTAGGCACCACAGCTGGCAGGAACACAGAGCTACTGCCAAGATCTGCACACTGGTCACTGTGAGCTCTGCCTCCTTTTTTTGTTTCTAACTGACCCCACACAGTCTAACCATGCCATTACTCCCAGTGTCCCCCATAAGGCAAGACTGGTCTGAGCTTCCAGGAATGCACCTCAGAATGCTAGGGAAGCTGGATGTCTGTCTCTTGTTGTTTTCCCATTTTAAAATCATGTGCCCCAGGCCCTCCCATGACTACAGCCACTACTACGGGACCATCGAGTACCTGTGCTACAAGATTCTTGGTGACATCATTGAGAATTCCAGGATTGTCCTGCAGATCAACAATGCCTGTCTGGCTGCAGATGACTTCTGAACTAAGTATGAGAGGGAGCAGACTCTGCTCGTGAGTGTGGAGGCTGACATAATGGCCTGCACGGGGTGCTGGTTGAGCTGACCCTGGCCAGGACCGACCTGGAGATGCAGACCGAAGGGCTGAAGGAAGAGCTGGCCTACCTGAAGAAGAACCATGAGGGGGAAATTAATGCCCTGAGGGGCCAGGTGGGAGGCCAGATCAGTGTGGAAGTGGATTCGGCTCTGGGCGCTGATGCCACCAATATCCTGAGTGACATGCAGAGCCAATATGAGGTCATGCCAAGCAGAACCGAAAGGATGCTGAACGCTGGTTCACCAGCTGCACTGAGGAACTGAACTGGGAAGTTGTTGGCCACATGGAGCAGCTCCAGATGAACAGGTCCCAGGTCACCGACCTGCGGTGCAACCTCCAGGGTCTTGAGATTGAGCTGCAGTGGCAGCTTAGCATGAAAGCCGCCTTGGAAGGTCACCAGCACGCTTTGGACCACAGCTGGCGCAGATCCAGGCGCTGATCAGCAGTATTGAAGCTCAGCTGGGCGATGTGCGAGCTGACAGTGAGAGGCAGAATCAGGAGTACCAGCTGCTCATGGACATCAAGTTGTGGCTGGAGCAGGAGCTCGCCACCTACCTCAGCCTGCTCGAGGGCCAGGAAGAGCACTACAATAGCCTGTCCACCTCCAAGATCCTCTAAGGAGGCAGGCTCCTGGGCTTCTGCTCTCCTTTAGAGGGTGTCTCCTGGGTAGGAGGATGGGAAGGAAGGGACACTTACTCCTGGCTCTTCCCTGATCTACCAATAAAATGTTATGGCTCAAGGATAAATAAAATAGAATCATGGGACCCAGGGGAATTCTGTCTGTGTGGCCCTCTGCCAACTTGGGGGGAAGGGAGGAGAGATGCGGTCAAAATAAGACCATTTCTCTTACCATTTTAATGTGGTTTTTATCCAGTTCTGTGGTCCACACTAGTGTCAGGCTCATTCCCAATTTAGGGGTTTTTTCACATAAGTTCTTGTCTGTGGATAGTTGTTAGTTGGATATTTTGTTGAAGGGACGTGAAGTCTGGGACCTTCCCATTCAACATCTTGCTGTTGTCACTCTCCCCTCCTTGTTCTTTTTGACTAAAAGAAGCATCCGTCTGGTGCAGTGGCTAATGGCTATAATCACAGCCCTTTGGGAGGTCAGGGTGAGAGGACAGCTTTAGGCCAGGAGGTTGAGGCTGCAGTGAGCCATGATCATGCCACTGCACTACAGCCTGGACAATACAGTGAGACCCTATCTCTAGAAAAATAAATAAATAAAATAAAATAAAGCCTCATGGCTCCTTTTGGTCATTGTTACCTTTTTTTTTTTTCCTCAAAAAAAGGTCACCTTTACCTTTTTTTTTTCCTCAAAATCATCTTTACCTTTTTTTTTTCTCAAAAAAAGGCCACATTTACCTTTTTTAAAATCCTCTATTCATTTGGGTCTTACTTTATAGAACTTTTATAGTAGATTTGCTACATTTCCCTATTCACCTTTGGTTACTCTCCCTTCTTATATCTTATAAACATGTCATTTAAAATTTGAGATAAATAGACAACGATTCAACTTTCCTGAGCTGTCTCCCATTTTATTTGAATTATTTCTTGGTTTTAAAAAATCTCCCTTCATTAGCCATAATCTTATTTGAGACTCAATTTCATGGGTCAAAACAATTTTTTTCCTTGAATTTTTTTAAAGTTTCCCCAAAGCCAGGGTATTTGCCTGACTCTATTCAGGGTTCCCTTTTCTGGCCATGATAAGAGCTTTGAACGCTCACAGTTTTTCATGTCACAGCATATTATTGATAATAGTCTCACAGGTGACACACTCTCACTGGTATACCATAATTTTCACAAAACTCAAATACATTTTTCCTGAAAATAAAACGTTGTAATCATTTTTAATTGCCACATATATTGGCTATATACTAGTTAGGCTTGCTCTCTACAATGTTTCTGGGGATATTGATAAACAAGCTATTGATTATGTGGCATTCTGTGCTACTTTTGCTAACACCAATCTTTCTCTCTCACTTAAGAAAACATACTTGTAAGAACATGAGAGCAATGATATCATTGAGATAACCTTGACTACACTCAAATGTATGTATTTTTAGAAGGCAGATCATGTGCAAATTTAGTGCTTTCACTATTAGTAATAAATTACTTGCAACACACCCCATGTGTCAAAACCAAGCTGAGAAATAGTCCAGGTGCGTTCTCCTGAGGTTCCTATCCCCCTCCACACTATCAACTAGCTTTTTTACTCCGTCAAAATTAAGTCCAGGCTTCGCTTGATTTTCAATATGAGGACAGTGAGTAATTTTTCTGATCAGGATGGTCCAAGTAAACTGCCTTGACAAATAACCTGCCTTTGTACAATTCAGGCACCTTTCCATATCCACCATTTGGCTCGGTAGTCTGTAACATTATACAGTCATATTATTTCTAATATTGGTAGTATTTTAGTATTCTGTTTCTATGAGCCTTTTAAATTCATGGCAATGAAATTGCATGACATCATATAGCAGAGTAAAGACATAAAAGTTTCGTAACCTTTTAATTTAAAATAAGTTGATCTAAAATAAATTCAAGCTAAACACAAAATTGTCTGCGAAAGGTATTTTTTAAAAATTGAAACAATGAATACTGAATTGAAAACTGTTAGCTCATTAGACAATGCACTGAGTGATGAAAGCACCAAGGACAACCAGGCCTGAAAGAAAGGAAAGGAGAGGGGAGGGGAGGAGAGGAGAGATGAGGGGAGGGAAGGAGAGGAGAGAGGAGGGGAGGGGAGGGGAGGGGAGGGGAGGGAAAAAGGAAAGGAATAAAAGGAAAAGAAAGGAAAGGAAGGGAGGGGGAAGGAAAGGAAAGGAAAGAAAATTACATAAGAAGGGGAATTTGGGGAGTTCTGAGAAGGCTATCCATTCATACAGATTATGCCTAAACTAGAATTATTTTTTCTTTTTAATTAAGAACCATTTAGAATGAACAATTTTTCCATTCTACAGCTGCTTGTATTATAATTTCTAGAAAGTGGTACCTTAAAGCCAATCTATTTCTTACACAAAATATTGTATTTTCTTATTATTTTAAATTTAAAAATTATTAAATTTTCTTTCTATTTCAGGACTGCTGACACAGCTTTAGAAATCTATTCTATACTCCCAAATCCTCCCTGTAACTAGAATATAATCTTTAGCAAGATGGCGGCCACAACTGCCCCCACTGCATGCTTGTGGCATCAAGAAAGGGAAGGGGATGGAGGCCCAGAACACTAGGGGGACTTCTACCCATGTCGGGGTAGAGGTAAGGGAATCCAAGAAGGGAGTGGGTGAGACTTGTAGACAGGAGTAAGGGAGAGTCACTAGAACAGGACCTCTACACCTTCTTTGGGCAGCCAGGTGAGAGGTGCCCAGCCAGCGAGTCCAGGTACCCCAATCAGCATTAGGGTGTCCTGCAGAAAGCATATTATGAAGGAAAGACAGGAATGAGTGGCATCCTTGGAACTATCTGGTGGGAGTTAAACTGCATCGGCAGAGGGGATATGGCAAGTCCAGCATCCAGTTGAGCAATTAAGGGAGATCATGAGAGCAGCGTCCAGCCGTGGATAGGGGGCAGTCTCACCATGGATAGGGGGCAGTCTCACCATGGATGGGGGCAGTCTCACCATGGATAGGGAGCAGTCTCACCATGGATAGGGGGCAGTCTCACCATGGATAGGGGCAGTCTCACCATGGATAGGGGGCAGTCTCACCATGGATGGGGGCAGTCTCACCATGGATAGGGAGCAGTCTCACCATGGATATGGAGCAGTCTCACCATGGATAGGTGAGACGGATGGGTGCACCTCACCATGGATAGGGAGTCTCACCATGGATAGGGAGCAGTCTCACCATGGATAGGGGGCAGTCTCACCATGGATAGGGGGCAGTCTCACCATGGATGGGGGCAGTCTCACCACAGATAGGGGGCAGTCTCACCACAGATAGGGGGCAGTCTCACCATGGATAGGGGGCAGTCTCACCACGGATAGGGGGCAGTCTCACCATGGATGGGGGTAGTCTCACCATGGATAGGGAGCAGTCTCACCATGGATAGGGGGCAGTCTCACCATGGATGGGGGTAGTCTCACCATGGATAGGAGGCAGTCTCACCATGGATGGGGGCAGTCTCACCAATGGATAGGGGGAAGTCTCACTATGGATAGGGGGCAGTCTCACCATGGATAGGGGGCAGTCACACTAATGGCAAAGGAGGGGCAGTTGACAGTAACCAGGGCTTGATTGTGAAGAGTGGACAAGTGGCTGAAGGTTGGTGAAGGGATGCTCAGCAAGCCAGGTTTGGCCACTCAGTGGGTGACCAAAATGACCCTGTGGTGGAAATTGTCAGTGACTTCAGTGCTGAGTAATCAGTGAGTAGGTCTCAAGAAGCAACATGTCGATGTGGAATGTTGGGCCACCTGGAGCAGTGAAAGACAGCAGGCAAACTGGGGCTTGGAAAATGGCTCTAGGGACATAAAAGGAGCTGAATGGACTTGGCAGTAGCAGGCTTGGAGCTGCTTGATTGCAGAGCAATGACAGGCCAAAATGGAAGAGGAGGACCAGGAGAACTCAGAACTAAGCAGTAATGGCTGCAGACACTGTGCACTGGAGGATGTTGTAGATACAAAAGTGTGATCTTGGAGGTGGTCCAGTGAAGTCAGAGTTTCAGGTTTTGTCCATCCCAGATGGCTGCCCAGCACAACTGAGTTTTCCAGGAGGTGCAGGCCATAGAAACTGCGGTGGAGGTGGCCTACTAGGCAAATGCCAGCTAGCGATTAGTCAAGGTTGGTGGGCCAGTCTCCATGGCTATCCTGGGTGTTAACGGTGAAGGTGTCTTTCAGCAGGTAGAGAAGTCTATGTTTGGTCCAAGAGGGCATGAAGTAGTCACTGCAGATATGATGGGGCAGGGGTCCTCATAATGCTGATACAAGGTGCACAGGCAGTGCCTGGGCCCAAAGTGTGTCTGTGACGTGAAGGTAGAGAAACTTTTGTGCACGAGGCAGCTCCTCATAGACCAGATAGAGTCAAGCTGGGGTTAAGGGCTAGATGAGTGTTGCCTCTGTCCTGTGAAGATGGAAGGTGTGTAAACCCACTGGAGCACACCTAAACGTCTCAGTAGCTCTCTTCCTTCCTTTGTGGTAGGTACCTCATCCACTTTCAGCCCTGGTTGTAAGGAGGCTCATGCTGGATTGTGCTGCTTGCCAGGCCATAAACAGCCATTGTGACAGAGCACAGGAATAGCTTCTGTCACGTCTGCCTGCTCTGGGCCCAGAGTCCCACCTGACTGTGCTTCCTGGAGAAGCTTGACAGGATCTTTAAGTAATGAAATCAATCTTCCCATCTTTGGAGATAGCTGCCAGCTGTTGTATTCTTGGCCTGTGAATTGTAGACCCTTCCTGTTCAGTACGCACACCACAGCCAGGTGGCACTTTTCCTGTTGGGCCTCTGCATCAGGTGTTTGAGCAGGCTTCGAATTTCTGCTTGTGTCAAAGGGCCTACAGTAGTACCCCCTTATTTGAGGTTTTGTTTTCCACGTTTTCAGATACCCAACTTCAACCACAGTCCGAAAATTTTTAATGGAAAATCTACAAATAAACAATTCATAAATTTTAAGTTGATCTTGGAGGTGGTCCAGTCAAGCTAGAGTTTCAGGTTTTGTCCGTTTCAGATGGCTGCCAAATGCAAGTAGGGCTCTTGAGTGTTTCCAGGAGGTGTGGCTGTGAGTTGTCTGATGAAATATTTTGCCATCCTGCTCCGTCCCACCCAGGACATAAGTCATCACTTTGTCTGGAGGATCCACACCATGCACTCCCTGCCCATCAGTCACTTAGAAGCCGCCGTGGTTATCAGATGGACTGTCGTGGTATCACGGTGCTTGCATTCCAGTAACCCTTATTTTACTTGACAGTGGTCCCAAAGCACAAGAATAGTGACGCAGGCAACTTGGATATGCCAAAGAGAAGCTGTAAAGTGCTTCCTTTACGTGAAAAGGTGCAAGTTCCTGACTTAATAAGGTAAAAAACAGAAAAACAAAAAACCCTCATATGCTTCTATGAAGCGTAAGAAACCCTCATAGGTTTCTAAAGATTTAAGGTAAGAATGCATCTTCTATCCATAAGAATTTTCTTAGTCTGTTTTCTGTGGTCATAACAGAATAGACAGGCATAAGGGAGAGTCACCAGAACAGGACACTGAGTAATTTATAAAGAAGAGAGGTTTACTTTGGCTTACAATTCTGGAGGCCTAGGAGTCAAAGATCTGCCCACTATATCTGGTCAGCTTCCAGTGAGGCCTCTGCCATGTCACAGCATGGCAGAGAAGTGGAAAAGGAAGTGAGTGTGCCAAAGGGAGCCAAGGCAAGGAAGAACCTCACTTTGTAACAACCAGCTCTGACAGTTACTAACCGAGTCCTGCTAGACAGAGTGCTTGCTTTGGGATCCGAGATTAGTTCTTCCTCACCCTCGCTGTTTGCGGAGGTGGCAGCTGCTTTCTTAACTGTGTCCAGGTGGTGACTGGCAATGCCTGTGGTGCTGCTGGGGGTAATCTGGTGCACTCAGGATGATCACAGCTCACAGGCCTCCAGGTCAGCCAGGTGCAGAGTGGCAACTCTGAGGTGAGCCCCTATGATTTGGATGTGCTGCTCATGGGCTGCTGCTGGCAGCACCCAGCAGGCATTGTAGGGGGTGGTAAAGCCCTGGAGAAGCCGCACTGTCTCACTGGGAGCATGCAGAGGAACAGGGATGGCAGCAACATGCCCGTTGGTGATTTGGTGACTTTGCTAACGGCATTAGACCGGGGTATGTTGGAGAAGTCTCTTTCCCCAGTTGGCAGACAACAGATAAGCTTTCTGTGGAGAAGATGTACTTGAGCCTTCTTGGTCTATGGGGTCATGATGCCAGGACCTTTGGGGACGAGGAGCTCCTCTCCCACAGCTGAGGCTAGAAACATACCAGCTGGTGGTTGGCTCTTCAAGCCCAGGGTGTCCCCCAGCCTACAGCATTCCTACCACCCTCCTCCTAGAAGCCCACCTTCCTGTGGGACCAGAGTGGTCTTAAAAGTAATTTTGGCAAATTTTACCTGGTGGTGACCTCCAAAACAGAGGCACAAAGTAAAGATAGAAGGCAGCAACACATGTGAAAACAGAACAAAAACTGCCAGACCCACTGTAGAGTGTTCCTCAGACCTCACCCAATCTCTCGATCAGAGCCAGGCCCTGGCCACTCTCCCTTGATCCTCCTGTAGAAATGGGTGTCATCACTCATTGGCTTACTCAAATTTCATCCTCACTGCTAGTTGTGTTCTGAGGTTTTGGGTGGTCCCAGCTAGCCAGCTTCACAAGGGTGATTTATCCCTGTCATCAAAGATGAGTCTTAGACACCATCTAATGCTCAAGTAGTTTATTCCAGCAGTGCTCTTACAAGACAGAAAGCAGGAGCTGGCTGGTGTCATAGGCCGGATATAGTCAGAGGTCAGATGACCAACTGACTAGGAGAGCTTCTATTTGAGGACCGTTCTCAGAGTTTGGGAGATCTTTCCCATTTCTTATACATGTATTCAGTCTGGGTCAATTACCAAGTGTTTCTTTCATAGAGCAAGTTTAATCTAGTAAGGTTAGGCTTTGTTCTAAAATTTATGAAAGTTGCATCTGTGCTGAGGTGGCCTTGTCTTCTGGAAATCCCTAGGCCAGGTTGCATCCTGCTAAGTGACATGTAATATCACCACTGTGAGATGCTTGAGTGGGCCTTATCGCTATCGTTAATCTTAAAGCCATGAGATGTTTCTTGTAGTATACTACAGTTATTAAAATATTCTCTTTCTAAAAAAACTAAATTTTATTTGTGAACTCCTTTCCTATGTATTTAAGTTCCCCGATGTTTTTAACCTAGGAAAAGAATCTAACCAAATGAATCCACTGAAGCTTCCCTTTTAAAGTCCTAAAATATCCTTTGGGGTTGTAAAACAGACTTTCAAAGGGCAGTAAGTAATTTCAAAAGCTTTCTCTTTATCAAGAGAATCAAAAGACAATATGGCAAAAGACAAACAGCTTGGCTCGTGATGCTTTGGCTACTTGTATATCTTCTGACAGAGCAGAAGAAAGAAAGAATGAAGGAAGGAAAGGGAGGGAAGACAAGGAAGGAAGAAAGAAGGGAGAACATAAGAGCAAACAGCAAAATATTAAAAGATTGATTTAAAGTTATTTTTAAATATCCATATAATCTGTCAGTCGATGTGTTTAAATGCAACAGTTACCATTTTTAAAGAAATGGTCTATTTGTCATAATCCTCTTTGTATACTTACTTTTGCTAATACCTATATTTCTAAAGAAAAGCAAAAATTTTTCTTACAAGAAATATGAACACAACTCTATAGTATCACAATGCATAATGGTACCAAGAGACAGAGCCCTCTCTCTCCCGTGAGTTAGATTTAACCTTAGTGAACACAAAATCCTTTATGATCCCACGCTCTCCATTAGGCAATGTCAGAAAACATCCACAGCAAATGCTATAATGCACTTCGAACATGAATAAACATCAAGGCTTAGCTGGTTTTGCTAATGTTTCCTCATGACTCAAAAAACTATATTTTTAAATACAGAGTTCACTTGCTACTTTCACATGAACTTATTTTTAAGAACTAAAACATTACCCTAAAAAGTATTAATAATTTATTAAGCACCACTCTAAAAATTATTTCTGTAGACCTTTTCCACACAAGAAAAAAAATCAACATTATTTGTCTTTTCAGTTCAGAGGTCTCATGGTATTTTTTAAACATACTTAAAAGCATTCCATTTGTGATTTTCATGTACAATGTGAAAGTCTGTCCAAAAGTCATCCAAACCTAGGGTCAATTATACCCTTAGATGCTAGTTTTGTAGCTCACATGCACCTGAGCTGCAGAACCTTAGCAATAATACTCTGGTCTGGAACCTTCACTTTTAAAAGTCACCTGAGATTCCACACTTGACCTAGAACAAAGCAGCAATTTCTCTGAGTCATCCCTGTGGCTTCGTGTCCAGAGCTCACCTACACTTTGAGACCTGGGAAACAGGGTCTCAAATTGGATATAAGTCTCCTTTGCCAAATCATCTTCCCAAAAAGGTTCTGATTTACATTGCAGTTTGCAAACTTTGTACAACAAGAAACAAATCAATGGTAAGATAACAACACAGGCAGTACTGGTCACCACGAGAAGGAGAGACCATTGAGAATCATCTCCTTCAACTCTTTCAGTAGAAAAGGTGATGCATTGGTCTTTCTGGGGAGGCACTCCTTTTGGACAGACACAGGCCATGTATTGCCCACCGGGTTCCAAGCCATCTATGGTTACTTGGTTCTTGCTGGAGTCTGCATTCAACAGCAGCAGGTCCTTCCCACCATACTTGGAATACAACACAGTCACTGCAGAGTTATGTGTGGTGTTGATCATATTCCACGTCAATGTCACACTCTCTTTAGTCTCACTGACCACCCTGAGGTTTTCTATTGCGGCATTTGTCTCCGTAAGCATTGTTTGATCCAACAATGCCAGCTCTTCTTTCTTACTTGTGCTGGCTGGAGGAAGCTTACTTCCATTCTTTGCCACCTTTAAATTTCTTTTCCCACCTTGGTGGAGCTGGAATGATCGCTTGTTGGCCATGGTGGTACTTGCTGAGATGCTTGTGCTCAGAGTTGTGGTTGAAGAAACAGTGGAGGAGGAGAAAGGAGATAAAGAGAAGGAAGCAGTAGAGGGAGGAGACAAAGTAGAAGCAGAAAAAGAAGATGTGGGGGAGAAGGAAGAGGACCAAAGATATGATGATGCGCTAGATACAGATGTAGATCTTCCAGATCCCGGCTGGACATCCCACTCAGGATGATCTCCAGTTCTTTCAGAAGTGTCTGGTGGTATTGGAGTTGTGGTAATGCCAAGCACTGTCACAGTAACCACAGCTTCTGACATCCCAGCCAGATTTTTGGCCTTACATTTGTAATCCCCAGCGTCTTTGGAAGAAATGCCTGTCAAGCTCATTATGGACCATCTGACTCCTTCCTCTGGAGATTCTTGTATTACTGGAAGAAAACAAATGTATAGTCTGTGAGGAACAAAAAGAAAATTCAAGCCACCATGCCAACTGAGGAGGAAACAACTATCCACTCTACATGCATCCTCTCACAGAAGCCAAGAGGGAAATGGCACCCTGCAAGTCTCTGACAGTGGGTGATAGTTCTGCAAACTGCTTACATCAAGGTCTAGGACCTGCCAGGTGTTGTGAGGTCTGTACAGGGAATAGTATTTTTAAAAGACAAAAGGCTGGGAATCAGGACACTTGGGTTTTAGAAACTTTTGCCCACTAAACAGTGTTTGGTTGTAGATAAGTCAATTCATATCTTTAGGCTTCTGTTTCTGCATTTATAAAATAAGAGGATGAGACGAAGTAATCTCAAAGGTCCCTTTCAATTTTAAGTCACTGTGATTCTATGGAATGTTTTTCATAAGATCTTACTTAAGTATTTCTTATTATATGTTTTCATGGTAATAAAATGCATATATCTCTATAGCCAGAGGTACAGCAGATCATTTTCTGGCATGGCAGAGTCATCATTTGTATTCCGAATAATTTATTTTATATTTAACTTAGGTAAACTGGCAAATCAAGGATTCTTTTGTTTGCAAATAACATATAGTTTTTTAAAAAATCAGAATTTTGCTATCCTAAACTCTGATATCTGGGTATATTTTCATTCTTCCTTGATTTCAGAAGCTTTTCAAAGAATAATAATAATGCGCAGAACAGTAGCCCAGTAGCCCAAAACTTAACTCACTAGCTGAAACTGTGGACCATTGACTACCTATATATAGGAACATTAGGCCTTAACTTCTTTATTTCCATCAGGTTTCATTATTTCAACCTGAATTTTAGTTTAATATTGAAGAGTTTTAAAAATATATCACTTTAATTGTCAGAATATCACTCTTGAAATTGGGCACAAAGCATACACATTGTCACACTAGGATCTGAAAAGTCTATATAATCAATATTTCTAAAAATTATACTTTTTGATTCATAATAAGGTGTCCATGTAATTTATTATTTAAATAATTATTCAAAAATGAGAGACTTGTACAAAAGCCCCCCGTCCTTTTTTTTTTTTTTTTTTTTTTAAGACAGTCTTACTCTGCAGTGGTGCGATCTTAACTCACTGCAACCTCCACCCCCCAAATTCAAGCAATTCTCCTGCCTCAGCCTCCTGAGTAGCTGGGATTACAGGTGCACACTACCAAGCCCAGCTGATTTTTGTATTTTTAGTAGAGACGGAGTTTTGCCATGTTGGCCAGGCTGGTCTCAAACTCCTGACCTCAGGTGATCCACCCACCTCGGCCTCCCAAAGTGCTGGGATTACAGGTGTGAGCCACCGCACCCAACCAGCAAAAGGCCCTTTTTAAAAAATTGTAAAGGCTGTACATTTTGAAGTAAGCTGTATCCAAGTTGATGAAGCAAGACAAAGACCTTGTCTGCCATTGATCCATCCACTGCATTGTTTCATTCTACCTAAGAAAAAGAGTTTAGATTGTTTAATTTTATCTAGGTAGTTAGATAAACTGAGGAGAATACTAATGAATAAAATGTACCTTTAAAATCCCTTGCACCCAATAATCTTGAAATATTTTATTAGTGTTAACTAGCTAATTTCAAATCACACAACACATGATGTTAACTTCAAAGCTTAGTAAACTCCTTTGATCATGGGGCTGAATTAAGAAAATACCTGTATAATTAACTGGCGAGCTGTCAGATCTGGTCCATGTGATCTGTGGGGTGGGGAAGCCAGTGGCATCACACCGCAGTAGAACATTACTGCCCAGAGCAGACATGATTTTGGTGGCTGAGGTCATCACTGATGGTTTCAGACAATGCTCCAATTCAGCCCGCTGAAACAAAATTCCTGTGAGGCGCTCAGGTTCACTGCAAGTCATCAGTGGATCCAGAAGCACTATAGCAGGGTCAACGACCTTTGACAACTCAATCATTTTGGAAATATGACAGTCACAGAACCAAGGATTGTCCTGTAGACCTAAAACAGAAGGTGGGAAAGGTTGACAAAGATTATTCTGATGACTTCAGTTTACATCCTGCCTCTTGAGAAAGTAGGGATCTACACTGTCTCCCTATAAACAGAAGTGCTTTGAGGGATGAAGCAGAGTCACCTTTATGTCAGTTTTGCTCTGCAATCCAGCAATCTCGGTGAACATATCCTGTCCATTAGTTCAGATCATTAATAATCATGGCTAATACTTATTGAGCATTCACTCTGTGCTAGATTATGTACTAAGCACTTACCTGTATTATCACATGTAATCTCAATAATCCTATGAGAAAATGATATTATTATTCCTATGTTAAAGATGAAGCTCAGACTTCATCTATCCCTATGTTAAAGATGAGGCCTCAGAGGGACCCAATAACTTGGCCAAGGTCACAAAGCTAATTAGTGTCAGAGCCAAGACTTTAATCCAGGTACCATAGAATGCCATAATACAGTAATAAAGATCTTTCAAAGGTGCTATGAAAGTACTTACAGTATTGTAAGTATTATAGGGTGCTCAGAGACACCTAACTCAACCTGGAATAGGTTATGGTTTTATGTGATTTGAAGGTATATTGAGGTAATGCAAGCTTTGTGTGGCAAAAGATATAGAGTGAGATGCTGGCAATGGCAGTAGAGAAGTCTAGAAAGACTGGTGGAAGCAAGAACATGGCTTGGCATGAATGTCATATATGGTGACCATGAAGGTGACTTGCTCAATACTCCCTTCAAGAGAGAATCAGCTGCAAGCAATGCGGTTAGCGGACAGCTTCCAGTTGCAAGCATCTTCAGGATGTCTCACTTTCAGAATTGTTAGCAGAAGCCTTTGGGCCTTCAGGAAGGCTATCAGTGAGGGCTTGAAGAAAAGTGAGGAAAATGTTGCTGGAAACTAGAGGAAAGAGGATCCTTGCTACTGAGTAGCAAAAAGTTTAGCAGCACTGTCACCTGTGGTCCACATGGAAAATCAAAAACATACTCAATGCAATGTGGTCTACCTAAGGATAGTTCCACAAAGAGTATTGAAACTACTCCCTGGTGTGTTTTAGGTAATAAAATATAAAGGAGAGGCAACAGTTAAAGAAGAACTGTTAAATATAAAGGAATCGAAATTTGCTGAGTTCAATTAAAAAATTGTTTCTTATTCTCGGCCTCTCCAAAATTCTCAAATTAAGATAGAACTTCAGAGCAAACATCGAATCCAGGCGTGACTGTAAAATTTTGTGCTAAAATCTCAGAAGGATCTAAGATGGAGCTTTAGAGCATTCTGTCAGGCAAAAGTCTCTCTAGGATCTTAGGGGTGATGTTCCATAACAGCCTCATATAAAGCCCAAGATAGAAAAAAATTTGTCACAGAGATTTGTGGTTATAGCTTTTTACTAATGGAGTGGATTATAAATTGAGAAGAAAAGACGAAACTGCAATTTTACAAATTCTAACCATGCTGGAAATGTAACTGTTAGTTCATAAATTCTATATTTTTATTATACTTTTTAAAAATTATAATAGCAAGTCATGACTGGCTCGTATTTTTCTGCCAGGATTGGTAAAAGTTTACTTTTTCATCTCCTGTTTTAGAAGTATGCTTTTCTTCCATGGGTGAATAACTTTAAACTTTTCCTCTTATATTTAATCTTGTTAATCTATACCTAGTTATTGAATCAATATTAATTTGAATTCTATTCTCTTAACTGTTGGCTCTTTCATCCAATTTTATATGGTAAGCAGACTTTCTAGTTTATTTTATATTGCTATGATTAAGTGTGGCTCTGGAACCTAACGTCTGGGCTGAAATCTTGGTTCTGTCAAGCTTCACCCCCATGAGATATCTATAATAACAACCTCTCTCAGCCTCATCTATAGAATGCAGTAGTTCTTTCATAGAGTTGCATGAATTTTTAATTACATAATTCATGGAAATTACTTTGAACAATGGTTTATTCATAGTGACCTTTAACCTTTCTTGCTAAACATAGTACTTAAAATCTTTTGTAAAATATAGTCATTTCAATCTCTGAATAAGTAACAAATTTCATTCACACAAAACATATTCCCTATACTAGAGTCCATATTTTCTTGATCTTAACAAAAGAAACCAAATGTAATACAATCTGTATGTCTACTAAGAAAGAATTCAAAACAAGTACATAAGTAATGGTGGAGATATGATCTGATAGATACCAAAACACCTATAATAATGTAGTCAGTTCATAGACATTCAAAAACCCATTTCACCACCAGATACCACATTAGATATTCAGTCATTATTGTACGTATTAGTTGACCTGATATGTGAAGGCCAGATTTAAATATATGAAAGAGAAATTTTAAAAGTAATAGGAAATGACATTCTCACCAACTTTACTGTGCCTGGGTTCCTGATGAGGCTCAACCATTAGTTAATTCTGTGACCTGGGTGATGCAACCTTGCTGAGCCTGTTTTCTCATCGGCAAAATGGGAGAGTTGACTAGATAAATGCTAGAGCTTTTTACAGCCGTAACGTTCTATCAGCCTATAAAATAAAAATAATGATCATAGACTAAAAGAAACCAAAGATGGAACAACAAACTAACACTAAAATCCATCATCACTCAGTAAAAAGCAGAAGAATATGATAGAATGCCTAATTTGTAACATTTTTATCTCTATTGATTGAGGTGCTAAAGATAATCTGTGGATCTAGACTCTCCTAATAGTGCTATTTTTAAATCTTTCAAGTTTGTGACTTTTCTATGTCTACATTGATACACAGTTCAAATGTGAATATCATACAAAGTGAAGCCAGTTTATGAACTTTGACTACAATACAGACTAAAAGTAGTCAATTCTCCTTTTATAAACAATATAACTGATTTTACTTATTAAAATGGAGGGGAGGGGGAATCATGAACCTCTTCCAAAGGCTGAAATCCTTTCAGTAGTTTATTTTACTTTGTACATGTATTTTTCACATTAACCAGTTTTGCCTTATATACATGTAAATGTTATTATAAAGAACTAAATTTGGAATTAGATTGTTAGACTGTGACCCACACAGTTTAACAAATTAATCAGGTCAGTTTGTGTATAATGTGCCAATAACCTCTACAAAAAGTTATAAAAGATTAAAAATGTTGCTATCAGTTGGTATTGTCAGCATTGTGAGCTGTAGTTTGCAAGAAATCAATGAATAAATATATGGCTTGCCTCTCACAAATAATTAAATCTCAAAGTGAGGATCCAATCACATGTCTGCTCCCTGAGTGAAAGAGAAAACCAGCAAAGAGAAGAGCACAGGATGCAAACTGGCAAGTGTCCTCTAGGGCAAAGGGATGTTATCATAGTGCCTAAGAGGAGGAAAGGGGATATTTTAAGTTAGATAAAAACAATCAAAAGATTTAGAAAGGAACATGTAAACACCCACCTTAATATAGTAAGAATTCATAAATAGAATGATACTAAAACATTTATATTGAAATAAAAGGTTACTTATATTTTATATCTATAAATTTGTGTCAAAATTTATATATAAAAGCTATGCTCATCATAGCTATTTTATTATTTAATTTTAAGATTAATTTCTAAATCTGCCAGCACATCAAATTTATTCAGTTATATAATATGTATAGACTATTTCATAGTTTGAAAACACTTCAACTTATGCCAGATTTTTTTCTTTATGTAATACTACCAATGCAAGTTACAAGTTTTGATTGCTTCCTATGTGGCAAAGACCGTGCTTCTCCAAAACTGCAGAGGCTCTGAGATTTGACCCTACTTTAGGGTGACCAACCTATTCCAGTTTGCCAGCAACTCATTTCAGTTTGCCCAGGACTTTCTTGCTTTTAGCACTGAGAGGTCCACATTCTGGGAAACTTCTCAGATATGGGCAAGTTTGCCTGCCATCGTTTTATGGATGTTGGTAGAAGACACAAGACTCCTGCTCAGGGTTGAAGGAGCTCATTGCTCACAGCACTGAAGGGAGACATCTTTATTATACTGGGTAGTAAGCATGCTTACCCTTTGCTCTGGAAGGAGATATATTTCTACCTCCAAAGCTGTTCTCTTGAAAAGATAGTGCAGAATAAAAGGTAATCCTTGAAAAGATAGTGCAGAATAAAAGGTAATCAATGTCTGCCTCTGCTCACAAGACATGCAGAGATTCAGGAGATCAAAGAACAACGGCACTAAGCGTCTGAAGGATGGACTGACTCAATCCTCACAAAAGCATGGGATAGGTAGTACTATTATCATCCCCATTTTAAAGATGAGAAAACCAAGGTTCAGGAAGCTTAAGGAATCTGCCCAGGGTCACACAATTGGACAGCCAGGATTTGAACTTCAGTATCCTGATCTTAAACCACCATGCTGGTTAAAGGTTTTAACCACCCACCACAGTGGTTAAAGCTCTTAACCGCCATGTTATGCCTTCTACCACCTCTGGAATCTGGTATTATTCTTCCAGTTTTACACCAAAGGAAGCCAAAGCACAAAGATATTACTATCTTGACTTTGTAAATGGCTTAGAATCCTACATCCCAGATTTTTTTAGCATCCTAATCTAATACCCTTTCTATCATAACTCATCTCTTTGCCATCTAAAAACATTTAGAGTCATAGTGACAGTCATAAGCGCTATTATTTACAAATAAAAAAATGTCCAGGCACAATGGCTCACACCTGTAATCCCAACACTTTGTGAGGCTGAGGTGGGAAGATTGCTTGAGGTCAGGAGTTCAAGGCCAGCCTGTGCAACATGGCAAGATCCTGTCTCTACAAAAAATACAAAAATACAAAAATTAGCCAGGTATGGTGGCGGCACTTGCCTGTTGTCCCAGCTACCAGGAGGCTGAGTTGAGGGGATCAACTGAGCCCAGGAGTCATGGTTTGTGCCACTGCACTCCAGCCTGGGTGACAAAGTGAGATACTCTTTCAAAATAAAATAAAATTTAAAAATGTTAAAGCAGCAATATCTGGAGTATAAATGTTTACACAGGGAAAGATTTAAGAGCTATACAATGTTAACAATTTATTTCATGCTTTGAAATTATTAAAAAATGTATTAATGGTGAAAGAAAATTCTTTAAAAAATTAATTTCACTGGTTATATATAAAAGTTATGTAAATATTTTTAAATCCTTCAAAAATAAAATGTCTATTTACTCCAGCTTGAAACTTCTAAGGTCAAAGGTACAATTTTTAAAACCTGAATAAAAATAGTGATCCAAGAACTGAATATATTTAAGTGTTTTTTTCTTCTGAGGACAAAGGAAAGAGAACTCTCTCAAGTTAAACTGTTACTTGCACTGCATTCCTTCAAGGCAATACATCAACTACAATTACACTAATTTGCATTAATTAGTTTACTTTATATAACTATTCTTGGATGGGACAAGTGAACTTTATCCTTTCTAAAAGAATAGTATTTATATGCATCAGAATAGTTGGACTAAATGCGCTATTTTTGTGTGAAAAGTGAGCAATAAATTTTTGTACAAAAGTTATTCTGAGGACTATAAGCCCTTGAAGGCAAAGACTATGCCTACTCAGCTTTGTGGAGACAACCATGTTTAACAATTCAGTAGGGAAAGGAACGTCTTTTTAATGAATGGTGCTGGAACAAGTGGACACGTGTTTGCAAGCATATGAACCTCAACCCCTACTTTACACAATACTCCAAAACTATTTTGAGATGGATAATAGCTATAAGCCTAAGAGCTAAGAATATACAGCTAAAAATTGAGTATAAAGGCTAAAACTATAAGAAAATATCATATCTGTGATTTTGAGGTAGGCAAACATGTTTTAGATGATACACAGAAAGCACTAACTGTAAAAGGAAAAAACTAATGAATCAAATGTCATCAAAATGTAAACCTTTTTTTACTAAAGACACCAGGAAAAAATAAATAGGCAAGTCAGCCTTGGAGAAAATATTCACAGTGCATATAACAGACAAAAGACTTATATTCAATAAAGAAAAGACAAATAGCCCTTAAAAATTAAGCAAAAGATAGTTCATAAAGGAAGATATACAGTGACCCATAAGCAAATGAAAATCTGGCCAACACCATTAATAATCAGGGAAATGGAAATTAAAAACACATTGTGATACCGCTTCCTGACCCACCCACCCCCCAGAATAGCTGAAATGAAAAAGACCAACAACATTAAGTGTTGGTGAGGATATGGAGCAACCAGACTGTCATGCAGTGCTAGTGGGAATGTATAATGTTATACAGTCTCTTTGGAAAACAGGAAGTTTCCTTAAAAGTTATACATATAGCCATTCTTTTTCTCTTTTTTTTTTTTTCCACCCAGGATGTAGTGCAGTGACGTGATCTCAATTCACTGCAACATCTGCCTCCCAGGTTTCTCCTACCTCACCTGAGTAGCTGGGACTATAGGCATGCACCACCACACCTGGCTAATTTTTGTATTTTTTAGTAGAGGCAGGGTTTCGCCACATTGACCAGGCTGGTCTCAAACTCCTGACTAAAAGTGATCTGCCTGCCTTCGCCTCCCAAAGTGTTGGGATTACAGGAGTGAGCCATGGCCCCCAGCCATATAGCCATTCTATAATCCAGCAATTTCAATTCTAGGAATTTATCCAAGATAATGAAATGAAAACATGTGCCACAAAAAGCTTTGTACAAGAATGTTAATTGCAGCTTAATTTATTATGGCCCCAAACTCGAAACACCCATGTGTCCAACATCAGGAGAAAGGATGAACAATTGCTTCATTCATACAATTGAATACAATTTTGCAATAATGAACTACCAATACATGCGACAGCATGGATGATTTTCAAAAACATGATGCTGAGTGAAAGAAGCCTGGCACAAAGGTTCATCTTATATGATTCCATTTACATAACATTCTAGAGCAGGCACAATTAACCTATAGTGATGAAAATTCAAATAGGTGAGGCAAGATTGACTGGAAAGAAACACAGAACTTTCTGAGGTCATGGAAATATTCTGTATCTTGATGATGGTGTAAGTTATGTAAGGGTATACATTTATCAGAATTTAACAAACTGTAGACTTACAATCCTGCATTCCACCTATACAAAGTATACCTTAATGTCTCCATTAAAAACAAGGTTTTAAAAAGTAAAGAGTGATGTCTTTGGAGATTAACTGTAAATTTGAAACTTGACTCTGCCAGCTATAGAAAGAGGGTGAGGATTAGAGCACCCAGCAAGGCATAAACCTTACCTATGTGGATTTGTTTCCTCAAACCAAAAAAGGGTGGGGCACATCTACAGAGATTGATAAGTGTTTTTTGAACTAAATTAACACCATTTTAGAAAAGTCTGGAAATACTAGGGCTGCCACCATCCTTCAGGCAAACTCCATTTCAAATAGGAAAAGAGCCCATGTTTACAATTCAGCAAATTTGGGTACAAGTAAAACAACACCCCCAAAAAAAAAGCATTTTATGTTTTATTCTACCACAGGCCTTTTTCTCTGAGACAAACAGTGTCAGGACTTACAGAATATGCCTGTGTAAATATTTACTTAATCTTAAGAAACAGGCCATGGAAATTTACCTGCATTGCAAAACAAAACCTGGTTTTATAGTTAATTCCAATGTTTATTTGCAGGGCAATAGTTTAAGTATTCATGGATACAATAAAGGACAATTTTACTAAGTTGATGTTTTTACTCCTGTAGAAGAGAAAGAGTAATTGAAAAGCCTCACCTTATGTAGGGAGACCCCTTGAAACTATTGCTATGGAATAAAAGATGAAATGCTCCTGATTATTGTAAGTACAAAATTGCATGCAGGATTGTGTAAGGACAATGCCAGGCTGGACTGCCAGAATGAGCCAACATGCGTGATGTGCTTCCCCCTGCAGAGAGCCTATGAATGGATGTGCAGTCAGGGAGGTTTCACATCACTAAGATTCCTATCCCAGAAAAGCAGATGTTCATAGCTCTGGGAATGGAATGTGACCCTTGTGGAGAGCCTATAAACGGATGCATGAGGTGCACCTGTCCATATGCATAAGATAGGGCTATAAACACCCTCATCTTGCCATGGCTCTTCTAGGCCTCTTTAGGGCATACTTCCTTCTGAGAATTTCTGGTCTAACCGGTTGTCTAGCTTCACGTCCTGTTTCTATGGATTGTTTGTAACCAGCTTTTGCTGCAACTGTTACTGCTGATTAATATCTTGCTAATCATAGGTTATGAAAAGACTGTGTTTCTGTTTTAAGGCTCTGTTAGAAATTACTGATGCACACACTATATTGTAAATTCTTATCTCTGTATACTGTACTTCTGCATACAGATGTTATGTTAAAGAATTACTTCATCCCCATGTGACCATCTCACACACACAATCAAATGACCCTAAATCCCTCACTAACCTACCCCCACCCTCACTAAACTTAATAATAAATGCTGGTATATCTAGTGCATTGGTGGCACCGTGGGACCAGAAGGTGGTGACCCCCCTGGATCCAGCTTTCACTATCTTGTGTGTGTCTATTATTTTTTGACCTGCTGATCTGCCTGGGAACAAAAGAAAGAGCCCCATTGCATTGTGGTTTGCTGGCCAGATCCCGCAATATCTGGCACCCATCTTTTGGAAAATTAGCTTATGTGCATGTCACAGTTGACACCTTTTCCAATTTCATCTGGGCTACCTGTCAAACCAGAGAAGCCACTTCTTATGTTAAAAAACATATGTTTTCATGTTTTGCGGTTATGGGAATTCCTAGTGAGCTCAAAACAGACAATGGTCCAGCCTATTGCAGTAAAGCTTTTAAAAATTTTCTTGATCAGTGGCATATTAAACATATTACTGGTATTCCTTATAACCCACAAGGCCAAGCTATTGTAGAAAGAAGTAACAGAACTTTAAAATTACAATTACTTAAACAAAAAGAGGGGGATAAGGAGTCTACCCCTCACATACAACTAAACTTGGCATTGCTCACATTAAATTTTCTTAATATTCCTAAATCTAGTTCTGTTACTGCTGTCGAAAAACATTTCTCTGGTAACCGTCCCATGGTAAACCAAGGAAGGGAAGTATGGTGGAAAGATGTTCAATCTAATATATGGTCAAAAGTTTCTATTTTAATGTGGGGAAGAGTCTACGCTTGTGTTTCCCCAGGTGAACATCAATCTCCTGTTTAGATTACTGCTAGACACCTGAAATTGTGTCCTGAAGATGCATGCAACAACGAGACAGAGAAATTTGCTGAAAAAATGCCACAGCAGGAAACAACTAACACATCCAATTGTCAAAAAAGAAGAAAATGACCATGCTAACTCCTTTACAACAGACAATCCAGTCAGCCATCCTGAACAACTTGTCTCCAGCGATCCAGGTCCAGCTCAACCTCTGCCTCCTCCTGATGACATTGCTCCTTCTACCCTCTGTCACTCTATAGACTGTTAAAAACTATACATATTGGGCCTATATTCCTTTTCCTCCTCTTATTCGAGCCATGACATGGATGGACGCTCCTACTGAGGTCTATGTTAATGATAGTATTTGGATGCCTGGTTCTGTAGATGATCGTTGTCCTGCCCAACCTTCAGAAGAAGGAACCCCTTTCAATATCACTTTAGGTTTTAGGTATCCACCTTTGTGCCTGAGACCCACTAATGGATGTTTCTCATTAGATATTCAAACCTTGGAGGTCACACTACCATCTGGTCACTCTGTCCCTCCTTTAGGACACTTGGTATCAGGGCTCTCATTAAAACCTCTAAGACAGATCAAAATAGGAATCGCTGATTATATTCACACATCCCAATATAAGCCTTTAGGACCTGTGTGTCCTCTCAACTTGTCTTCAAATGCTGACAAATTAATATGGAAGGATTGTGTTAGTTCAGAAGGAACTGTGTTATTTAATTCTTCTCACTACACCATTGTTGACTGGGCTCCTAAAGGTCATATTACTAATGATTGCTCTCAAGGCCACAGAGATTGTCAACATTTTCTCTATGATATTACTTATCAAAAAAGTAGTGACAACCCTTCCCTATTATATCATAGATTTAACTCCTTTTTTCCTTTAAAGTGGAAAGGGGCAGGGATTGCCCCTCCAAAGCCAAGGCTTGTTGTTCCCCACTTAGGACCTGAACATTCAGAATTATGGAGATTAACCATAGCTATGATTGGTATGAGAGTTTGGGCTGGAGAAAGGGTTATAAGTAAATCCACCTTGTCACCTTGAAAACTAAGACAACAGATTGATTTACACTACTATTTCCACACAGCCAAAAATATCACTATGGCAATCATCAAAAGGTCAATTCAAAGATGGGACAGTAAAGATTATGAGGACTTATACCCCCCTGTTGCTAATGTCCCCCTGCCACCTCTCATACAACCTATTCCCCCCACCCCACATTCACAAAAAAGAGTACCATCCCAAAATATATATACTATCTATATGGAGTCCAACAAAACTATACCACTTAAAAGTTGTGTTAAACCACCATATATGTTATTAGTAGGAAAGATGCATATTAGTTCAAAAACCAACATAATTACCTGTGTTAATTGTTACTTGTATACTTGTATTGACTCATCCTTTAATCAATATCATAGTATTTTAATAGTCAGAGCCAGAGAAGGTAGTTGGCTCCCTGTAGCCTTACATAGGCCTTGGAAATCTTCCTCTTCTATCGATGTTATTAATAATATTCTAAAGAAAATTCTTAAAAGGAGTAAACGATTTATTTTTACATTAATTGCAGTAATAATGGGCTTGATTGCTGTTACGGTGACTGCTGCTACTGCTGGAGTTGCATTACATCAATCTATTCAAACTGCTCATTTTGCGGATAAATGGCAAAAAAATTCTATTTGAATGTGGAATTCTCAGTCAGGTATTGATCAAAAATTGGCCAATCAAATTAATGATCTAAGACAAACTATTATATGGATGGGAGATAGAATTAAGAGTTTAGAACACGGATTACAAATGCAATGTGATTGGAATATTTCTGATTTTTGTATAGCTCCGTTCCAATATAATGAGTCTGTTCACAATTGGGAATCAGTAAAACGCCATTTACAAGGAAGTGAAGATAATTTGAGTTTAGACATAAGCAAGCTAAAAGAAAAGATTTTTGAGGCCTCTCAAGCACACTTAACTTCTTTACCCAGTGATGAAGTTTTAGATGGTATCTCTGAGGGGTTATCTAATCTCAACCCCATTCAATGAGTAAAATCTTTGGGAGGATCCACTATCGGTAATTTTGTTCTGTGTATAATTTGTGCTATTGGTTTATTGTTCATGTGTAAAATTGGAAAAAATATTATTCAATCCAATCATGATCAGCGCCAAGCTATGATTGCTATGGTTCATTTAAATCAGAGAAAATGAGGAGATGTAGGGAGACCCCCTGAAACTATTGCTATGGAATAAAAGATGAAATGCTTCTGATAATTGTAAGTACAAAATTGCATGCAGGATTGTGTAAAGACAATGCCAGGTTGGACTGCCAGAATGAGCCAACAGTGTGTAATGTGCTTCCCCCTGCAGAGAGCCTATGAATGGATGTGCAGTCAGGGAGGTTTCACATCACCAAGATTCCTATCTCAGAAAAGCAGATGTTCATAATTCTGGGAATGGAATGCGACCCTTGTGGAGAGCCTATAAATGGATGCATGAGGGGTGCCTGTTCATATGGATAAGATAGGGCTATAAACGCCCTCATCTTGCCACAGCTCTTCTAGGCCTCTTTAGGGTGAAGGCATACAAACTGTCTCTCAGACTACAGTGCAATCAAACTAGAACTCAGGATTAAGAAACTCACTCAAAACCACTCAACTACATGGAAACTGGACAACCTGCTCCTTAATGACTACAGGGTACATAACAAAATGAAGGCAGAAATAAAGATGTTCTTTGAAACCAATGAGAACAAAGACAGAACATACCAGAATCTCTGGGACACATTTAAAGCAGTGTGTAGAGCGAAATTTATAGCACTACATGCCCACAAGAGAAAGCAGGAAAGATCTAAAATTGACACCCTAACATCACAATTAAAAGAACTAGAGAAGCAAGAGCAAACACATTCAAAAGCTAGCAGAAGGCAAGAAATTACTAAGATCAGAGCAGAACTGAAGGAGATAGAGACAGAAAAAACCCTTCAAAATATCAGTGAATCCAGGAGCTGGTTTTTTGAAAGGATCAACAAAATTGATAGACCGCTAGCAAGACTAATAAAGAAGAAAAGAGAGAAGAATCAAATAGACTCAATAAAAAATGATAAAGGGATATAACCACTGATCCCAAAGAAATACAAACTACCATCAGAGAATACTATAAACACCTCTACACAAATAAACTAGAAAATCTAGAAGAAATGGATAAATTCCTGGACACATACACCCTCCCAATACTAAACCAGGAAGAAGTTGAATCCCTGAATAGACAAATAACAAGTTCTGAAATTGAGGCAGTAATTAAATAGCCTACCAACCAAAAACAGCCCAGGACCAGATGGATTCACAGCTGAATTCTACCAGAGGTACCAGAGGTACAAAGAAAGAAAAAAAGAAAAACAGGAATTCATTTTATGAGGCCAGCATCATCCTGCTACCAAAACCTGGCAGAGACACCACAAAAAAAGAAAATTTCAGGCCAATATCCCTGATGAACATTGACATGAAAATCCTCAATAAAATACTGGAAAACTGAATCCAGCAGCACATCAAAAAGCTTATCCACCACAATCAAGTTGGCTTCATCCCTGGGATGCAACGCTTGTTCAACATATGCAAATCAATAAATGTAATCCATCACATAAACAGAACCAGTGACAAAAAGCACATGATTATCTCAATAGTCGCAGAAAAGGCCTTCTATAAAATTCAACACCCTTTCATGCTAAAAACTCTCAATAAACTAGGTATTGATGGAATGTATCTCAAAATAATATGAGCTATTTACGACAAACCCACAGCCAATATCATACTGAATGGGCAAAAGCTGGAAGCATTCCCTCTGAAAACCGGCACAAGACAAGGATGTCCTCTCTCACCACTCCTATTCAACACAGTATTGGAAGCTCTGGCCAGGGCAATCAGGCAAAAGAAATAAAGGGTATTCAAATAGGAAGAGAGGAAGTCAAATTGTCTCTGTTTGCAGATGACATGATTGTATATTTAGAAAACCCCATCATCTTAGCCAAAGCTGAAAAGCAACTTCAGCAAAGTCTCAGGATACAAAATCAATGTGCTAAAATCACAAGCATTTCTATACACCAATAATAGACAAACAGAGCCAAATCATGAGTGAATTCCCATTCACAATTGGTAAAAAGAGAATAAAATACCTAGGAATACAATTAACAAGGGATGTGAAGGATCTCTTTAAGGAGAACTAAAAACCACTGCTCAAGGAAATAAAAGAAGATATAAACAAATGGAAAAACATTCCATGCTCATGGATAGGAAGAATCAATATTGTGAAAATGGCCATACTGCCCAAAGTAATTTATAGATTCAATGCTAACCCCATCAAGCTACCATTGACTTTCTTCACAGAATTAGGAAAAACTACTACTTTAAATTTCATATGGGACCAAAAAAGAGCCCATATAGCCAAGACAGTCCTAAGCAAAAAACAAAGCTGGAGGCATCACGCTACCTGACTTCAAAATATACTACAAGGCTACAGTAACCAAAACAGCACAGTACTGATACCAAAACAGATATATAGACAAATGGAACAGAACAGAGGTCTCAGAAATAACACCACACATTTACAACCATCTGATCTTTGACAAACCTGACAAAACAAGCAATGGGGAAAGGATTCTCTATTTAATAAATGGGGTTGGGAAAACTGGCTAGCCATATGCAGAAAACTGAAACTGCACCCTTTCCTTACACCTTATTAACTCAAGATGGATTAAAGACTTAAATGTAAGACCTAAAATCATAAAAAACCCTAGAAGAAAACCTAGGCAATACCATTCAGGACATAGGCATGGGTAAAGACTTCATGACTAAAACACCAAAAAGCAATGGCAACAAAAGCCAAAATTGACAAATGGGATCTAATTAAACTAAAGAACTTCTGCACAGCAAAAGAAACTATCATCAAAGTGATGAACAGACAACCTACAGAATGGGAGAAAATGTTTGCAATCTATCCACCTGACAAAGGGATAATATCCAGAATCTACAAGGAACTTAAACAAATTTACAAGAAAAAAGAAAAACAAACAACTCCATCAAAAAGTGGGCAGAGGATATGAACAGACACTTCTCAAAAGAAGACATTTATGCAACCAACAAACATATGAAAAAAAAGCTCATCATCACTGGTTATTAGAGAAATGCAAATCAAAACCACAATGAGATGTAATCTCATGCCAGTTAGAATGGCGATCATTAAAAAGTCAGGAAACAACAGACGCTGGAGAGGATGTGGAGAAATAGGAACGTTTTTACACTGTTGGTGGGAGTATAAATTAGTTCAATCATTGTGGAAGACAGTGTGGCAATTCCTCAAGGACCTAGAACCAGAAATACCATTTGACCCAGCAATCTCATTACTGGGTATATACCCAAAGGATTATAAATCATTCTAGTATAAAGACACATGCACATGTATGTTTATTGCAGCACTATTCACAATAGCAAAGACTTCGAACCAAATGCCCATCAGTGATAGACTGCATAAAGAAAATGTGCCATGTACACACCATGGAATACTATGCAGCCATAAAAAGCATGAGTTCATGTCCTTTGCAGGGACATGAATGAAAGTGGAAACCATCATTCTCAGCAAACTAACACAGAAACAGAAAACCAAACACTGCATGTTCTCACTCATAAGTGGGAGTTGAAAAATGAGAACACATGGACACAGGGAGGGGAACATCACACACTGGGGCCTGTTGTGGGGTAGGGGTCTAGGGGAGGGATAGCATTAGGAGAAATACCTAATGTAGATGACAAGTTGATGGGTGCAGCAAGCCACCATGGCATGTTTATACCTATGTAACAAACCTACAAGTTCTGCACATAAAGTATAATAATAATAATAATAAAAAGAACCAGAGAAATACACATAGAACCTAAACAAGACCAAGTTCAAAATTCCAAAACTAGTCACAGCTAAACTAAGAGACCAAATCAGTTAGGAGAACCATTTGGGGCCAGTAAAATAACTGGTGTTTCCACCATTTCTTTTTAGATTAAGGAAATTTAGAAGCTATTCTTCCTAACTAATGAAGCCACTGCTATCGCATAAAGATGCCAGTGCCCCTCTCCTGCTCCTGAAGAACCTAATGAAGAGTTGAAAAGCAAACTGAGCAGAACTTTGTACCAGAGTATGGAGCAATGCTGTGCTCACAAGAGTCTATGCAGTTGGTTGATTCTGTCTCTCAGCTGGATGCTCTTTAAGAGAAATGGTCCTCTCTCCATTTATGATGCAAGTTCTTCTCCACTTTTCCACACATGTATGTACACACATGCATGCACACACACACAGCTCTTACACCTTACACAGGAGAAAGGGTAACTTGACCTAGGTTAACTAATAAGGTACTATTCCAGTAAAAGTGCAATTACAGAGTAAAAAGCCAAATCCAACAAATTTTAAAAGACTGGACAAAAAAAGCTATGCATAGCAAAGTAACTATAGATGAAAAGCCCAGAGGCTTGCGAGCTTACCAAGAATAATCCTGCTTGGGGAAAGGTCCAGGACTCCAGAAGGTGTTGAAACTAAATGAGTCCAGCTCTCCAGGAAATCTGGTGGCAATGTGGTGAGTCTGTTGCTTGATAAATCCAAGTAGGCAAGGTTCTTCAGATACCTGAGCGCCTCATTTGGCACACTGGTTATTTTGTTATTGTGCAAGTCCAGGGTCCTCAGAAGGGGCATGTCCAGCAGAGATGCCCAAGGGAAAGCAGCCAGAGAATTCCCATCCAAGCGCAACTCATGCAGTTGCTTCAGGTTGTAAAAGCTGCTGGGGTCAATGCTGGCCACGGAATTGTAAGTCACCCAGAGATACTGGAGCTCCACCAGGTAATAGAAGGCCTCCGCAGAGATTCTGCGGATGACAGTCTTCTCTATGCGAAGCTTCACAGTGTCCACGGGGAGGTTCGTAGGCAGCTCGTTCATATCCATGTCATTACATAGCACCAACCTAGTGTCACAACATGAACAATGTGAGGAAACTCACTTTCCAACACCCATTTGAAAAAAATACTTCTCATTTGAAAAATGTATCAATTTTCAGCTGGGCAGTGGCTCACGCCTGTAATCCCAGCACTTTGGGAGGCCGAGGAGGGCCTTGGTTCAAATCTAACCAAGGTCTAAGGTTTGCCACCTCCTCTGTGGCCATGGAAAACCACTTCACCAGTGTCTCAACCTCATTTTCCCATATGGCACTGTTATGGATGATTAATTACAATGGATGTAAAACTCTACAACTTCCTGGCACAGAATAGGTACTCAGTAGGTATTTGCTGCTACTGTCAACAACCTCGGTTTTACATGGAAAGTAACTGAGGCCCACCAACATTCAGTAACTTTCCAAGGTCACCCAGCTAGTGGGTTTCACAGCCACCTTTCAAAACCACTTCTGTCCAACTTAAAGTGCACCTCTTTAGGAAATGGCCCATTTTAAAAGAACCCCCTGTTAAAATAATAAATCAATCCTTGTTCAGAGAATAATTTATTTAGGTGAAAAAAAAAAGTGTTCACAGTACATGTTTAAAGTTGAACTCTGTTTTAATAACGTGACTTGCACATTGCTTTCTGCCTAAGGAATAAACCAGAAATTAGGAGTTGACCTTGAGCAAGTCACATTTTGATCTTGTTTGTTGGCACATATAAAACAGGCATAGAAAAACAACACTGGGCAATGTCCCAGCTGGGCAATGTGGCTCATGGCTGTAATCCCAGCACTTTGGGAGGTCAAGGTGGGCAGATCACCTGAGGTCAGATGTTTGAGACCAGCCTGGCCAACATGACGAAACCCCGACTCCACTAAAAATACAAAAATTAGCCAGGCGCGGTGGTAGGTACCTGTAATCCTACCTACTCAGGAGGCGGAGGTGGGAGAATCGCTTGAACCTGGGAGGCAGAGGTTGCAGTCAGCCAAGATCACGCCACTGCACTCCAGCCTGGGTGACAGAGCGAGACTCCATCTCAAAATAGAAAAGAAAGAAAGAAAGAAAGAAAGAAAGAAAGAAAGAAAGAAAGAAAGAAAGAAAGAAAGAAAGGAAGGAAGGAAGGAAGGAAGGAAGGAAGGAAGGAAGGAAGGAAGGAAGGAAGGAAGGAAGGAAGGAAGACAACACTGTCCCATGTGTAAATTTAAAGTATGAGGAATCTGAGAATTTAGATTCATTTTAGCCTGGAAAAAGACTTATCTCCTATGAGATACTCATCTGAATTATGAAAAATGAACAATAAGAAGTTTTGCAAAGTATCATCTAAATTATAGCACACTATAAATTTAGTAAATAATTACAATAAAATAACCCTTTAGTGAAACATATGACATTAAATCAGTGGATTTGAAAAACCAGCTCATAATGTATACACACGTAAGCAGCATAAAGCTGCAATGTAGTGGTAGTGTTATGTCCTTTCTATAACTTCAGGAAAAGACCTCATGGAATCTTTGAAATCCTCTAGGGATATCTCTTACTTTTCATCTCTATTTTATATCACAGATTTCAGTACTACTTTATACCAGAATGGTAGCAGTTTCTACTCATTAAGAAAGTATTGGCCGGGTGCGGTGGCTCACGCCTGTAATCCCAGCACTTTGGGAGGCCGAGGTGCGTGGATTACCTGAGGTCAGGAGTTTGAGACCAGCCTGGCCAACATGATGAAACCCCATCTCTACTAAAAATACAAAAACTAGCTGGGCATGGTGGCACACGCCTGTAATCCCAGCTCCTTGGGAGGCTGAGGCAGGAGAATTGCTTGAGCCCGGGAGATGGAGGTTGCAGTGAGCCGAGATTGTGCCACTGCACTCCAGCCTGGCTGACAAAGTGAGACTCTGTCTCAAAATAAATAAATAAATAAAATAAGTATCTCAGCATGCTATCATAGAAGAAAGTCTAGTTTGTACGCTAAAAGATCTAGCATCTTTATGAACTTAGTTACTACATCAACACAATTATATGATCTAGGACAAGTCATTTGGTCTCCATACAGTTTAGTTTCTTCACTTATAAACTGACAAGGGGTTGAACTAGATTATTTCTTGCCAGGCCTAATATTCTATAATTTTTATAAAATCCATCAATAATGGGGTCACCACAAAGAAGGAAACATTTCTGTGATAGTTTCTCAAAAGTACCCTGGCCTGATCCTTCACTGCTACACGTCCCTGGACAAGTAGGTCTTTAACTTGCTACATTCTCTTCATTGTCTTTAACCACCCAGTGAATATCTCAAAAAATACCAAGAATTGGTTAACTAAAGTTTATACAATAACAAGATAAGCTTTTCACAAATATGTCTTATTTATTATTATTTATTTGTTTAAAGTTATAAGACATAAATTGGGCAACTCTTTTAACAAATTATTTTATCTGAGACACCGTTTACTTCAACCAAGTCACAAATAACCTGATTTTGTTATTAAATAACCTCTCAAAAAAAAAATTCAAGTTCTACTGTGTTTAGCTAGCAAGAGTTCTGTTTTGCATTTAACATATCTAAAAGGCCTCATGCACAATATAAGTAAATAACTCTTCTCACTACACAAGTAGATGCTAAAGCAACCTAGAGATTGAATAACTTCTGTGAGATCCTGCAGTGTCTGAAACAGACAGTATCTTTTTCAATCTTCTTTATTTTGTAAATTCCATCAGCTTAAAATGAAAAATTCTAACTATTAACCTCTCTAACTTCACTCTTGAGATCTTTCTTTCTGCCATTCAATTGGCATGAATAGTTCTCAAAGGAAGTGGAGAGCCATGAAAGCAAAGGATCTGAGCATGTCACGCAGCTCCTGTTCAGCCTGCCCTCTTAGCCTTTCTATAATCAAGGGCTTAGCTGGCCATGCACCTTTAAATCGTTTGATCTCAAGCAACAATTTGTGAACATGAGCATAATAAAAATTTTGGAACATAGAATGTGTTTAGAAATTTCCAATACCTTGAGAGGCCTTTGAGAGTTAAACTGCTCAAAACGAAAACAGTGAAGGAGTAGGTGACCAGTGTTAAAACAATTAAGTTAAAGCTTATGGACACTAAACATTCTCTTCTGTGATTTCTGATCCCCAAACATTTGCTTTCAAAAGTAGGCTTTCTTGTTTGGGTCCTTTTTGTCAAAATAATGAGAACACTTAGTAACAAGCAGAGGAGCATACCTTGATCCTGAGCCGTCATTTCTGCCGTGATAATCACAGGTGCACTGTGAAGGACACAAACAGCCCACTCCTTCCAAAAAGCTAAGGACAATGCACAGACATGCAAAGAGATGCATTGCTCCTTTTAGAGGTTATTTAAACAAAAGGTAAAAACCGAATCCTAAGCATTCAGAACCTGGTATGCCTGGAATACAAACAGCCATTTAGTAACAGCAGATTACACGGGATTAGCTGAGATCTGTAGTTACTTAACCTTCAAGTGTATCTTGCAGGAGATCAATTGATCCAGCCTTTGAATACAGTTTCAGCAAAGTAACACATTCTAAGGAAAATGAAAATCAAACACATGACAAGCAATTTCAATAGTTACCCGTAACTAGATTTGCAAGAAAATGCCTATTAAATCCCTTTCTTCTGGATGTACTTGCCACTACACCTTAAAAATATACTTAATGTAAAATAATTCAGTCTTGGCAGATGCAAGAAAATTCTGTAGATTATTTACATGTTACAACATTATAAAATGTTTTGCATTTGGTTTTTGCCAGAATGTGTTACTAATTCAGTTTTACAAAATTTAGTTTTAAAAATAGAAGCACATGACATAAAAATGATTTAGAAAAGAGTTATCGATGTTGCCACATACTGGCTATCTCTAAAAGTAAAGTAAAACAAGTCAGTTACACAGATTTTATAGGGAAAATGCTTCAATCCACTACTGATGTGGCAGGACTAAGTTCTCCAATAAGAACGTGTTCTGAGACTCTTCCAGGTCATCTCAGTGTGTGGAAGGTTTATCCCAGCACATTTATTTTTAATGCAGGCAACTATCTCTGTTCAATAGTTTCCCAAGTTATCAGCATCAAAGCCATATTTGAAGATCAACTCTAATTCTTTCAGCTATATTAGGCTCTGTCAGAAAATAAAAATTAAATGTAATTAAATTTAAAAGTATCTCCACACTCATAGAGTGGAGAATCCACAGGGACAATCAAGGATTTAAGTAATAAATATACGTCATTTAACCTTCTTAGTGGCTGCTTCTAACCATCCTCTTTAACTAAAAACCTTTTTAAAAGAAAATTAATTCTATAAAAATAAGCATATTATAGAAAATGTTATTTAAAACCAATAGAATGTATATAAAAACCATACAGTCTGAAAAACTGTGCTCAATTAAAATAAAATACTGCAGGTTTTCAGATTCTGCACAACTCGTTTGTTCATCAAATATTTACTGAGTACTTATTCTCTGCTGAGCATTGAGGGGTACAAAGATAAATAAGACAGTTATTACACATAAGGAACTCACACGATAAAGGGAGGAACAGACTACTAAAGAAGCACGAGAAAAGAGCATCAAACCCAGCCTGTGTTAGTCAAGCAAGACTTCCTAGGGTGGGTGGTGCCTGGCTGCCTTTTACAGGGTGCATGACGATGTATTATGGGAAAATCCAGAAAGTTGCATTGCAAGCAAAGGGAATAGTGGGAACAAAGGGAGGGAAGTGAGAAACAGTGTATTGTCCTCAGAGAATTTCAAGCACTTCTTGTTGCTCAGGCATAAGATTTTGAGGCAGGAAGTTAAAAAAGATAAAGCTGGAGAGATAAGCGGGGATGAAGTTATCAAGGAAACCCTTAGATTCCCTATGGAGAGCTTACTCTCAGCCTACAGGCAATGGGAGCAATAAAAGTTAGGCTTGGGAGTGGCATATCAGCTTATCCTTTCAGGAAGAATTCTCTGGCGGCTGTGTGGAGAAAAGGTTTAGACAGAGCAAGCAAGAAGAAAGGAGGAAGCTTCTAGATAGAGCAAGCAAGAAGAAAGGAGGAGGCTTCAGGTGGATGTCTGTGGTTATAGTCCAGGTGAGCAGCCATTAGGCTACAGCCTTGACTGCTGTGCTAGTAATCGTTAGGATAATGCAGCTTCAGGAAACACCCAGGAGAGAGAAATGATTGATTAGACGTAAGGATGAAGAAGGGATTTAAAAACAACCCTAAGGTTTCCCAGTGCTGGAGATGCAGTGAGAGGTGGTGGCCTCGAGTTTTTGAGCACAAGAGGAAAAAGAAATTGGATGGGTAAAGCTCTGATCGCCAAGTGACCAAGGGTTTTTGAATCATTAATTTCATGGATGTTATGACTTACATGGAAGCAAGACGTGCCAAATTGAGCATAGAAACGCTGTTTAAAGATAAAAACATCAGAAATTAGCAAACTAAGAGGTCAGAGGGAACTATGTAACCAAAGCCAGGTCTTCCTAGTTTTATCATATAAGCAAATTAAAAAATAAATAATATAGCATTGAAATATAATTACTGTACACTGTTGAAGTCCTTTATATTTGAGGCAAAGTTGCTTCTTGCTTATCGCTGGAAATGAGTTCACAGCCTTGCAAATTGGAACTCTGAGTCCATTTTTCTAGACATTATTACAGAAGTTGTCCTGGCCTTTTAATGGCTCTGGGACTTTGGGTGCAGATTTCACTATGCTTTCCCTGTAAAAAGGCTCGGCTATGATAGACAGGATGAGCGAAGACCTAGTGACACAAAGCATTCAGAGCTCTCTCGGAACACTAGACATTTTAATTTGGCCATGAAGAGAGACAAAAAGCTGAAAAGTCCCTCTTGAAGTATGTTAAAGAGGGCCTTGAAAATCCAGCTGAGGGGTTTATACTTACTTGGTGGGTGAGTGAAGGTTTTTAGCCAAAGAATTTGGGCATTGGAACTTTATTTTTAAAAGATTAGCTATGAAATTGTATTGATTGAGGTTGTATTGTATGAATTGATTGCAGTGGGAAAGTCAGAGAGTTAGGAGATAAGGTAGATTACTATGACAGTTTACCTTTCCATATACGTAGAAGACTGTACACATAAAACTAATACCTGTATTTTACTTAATATGTAGCCAAAGGTGCTAAAGAGACAATTTATAGGAAGAAAAAATAGAGATTAAAAAATACAATATGCAAAGATACACAGCCTCACTAGCAGTTAAAGAAATGTGAAATAAAATGACTTTAAGTTAGAGTATATAACTCATAATTTAAATATATACAGGACTATGAGCAGGAATATGCAGTGAAAAGCTCACTTAGACACTGCCAGTATCAGTGAAAACTAATTCAATCTTTCCATAAAGCAAGCTAGCAAAAATAATAGTGTTTTTGTATTTGTATCCAGTATTTCTAGTCTGAAAAGAAACACTCAAATAGAATAACTTCTCCAAAAGAAAAAATATATTTGCACTGAAATATTTTCAGTGGTATATCCATGAAACTAAAAACTGGAAAGCAATTTAAATGTCTACTATTTAAACAATGGTATATTGTATTATGCTTAACAGTCATTTAGAATGACAAATATGTGAAGTCTACAAATTCATTTGACATTGAAAAAATATTTATTGAGTGCCTACTACATGCCAGACAGAATTGGGTATATGTGCTAAGGATACATCAAAGAACAAACATATAAAAATCTCCACTCTGATTGAAGTTAACTCTGTTGGCAAATATATGGAATATATATGCAGAAAAATGGTACTCAAAATTGCAGAAAACATCAAAATATGCACAGGGGTCATAATGCTATATAATATATATGCATTGACTTAACATTTTATTTAGAAACAATCATGTTTAATGTTCATTTATTTTTGTTTAATAACATAAGTTAATTGATTTAAATGTTAAAATGTTGAAATTCAAAAAATGCTTTCTATTCTAACTGGGAACATCCAACAACTCATTTCAGTAATTATCTAGAATTATTCATTTATTCTAACATTAAATTAGTGACTGCTTTTATTCTAATGGAGGAGCCAGGCAAGTTAAAGGTCATCAGTACAGTGTAATGCATGCCATAATAGGGAGAAAGAAAGGGGACCTTAACCTCTGATGCCTAATTCATCAAAGGAGATGAGCAATAAGTTGATATATCAGGACACAGAGAAGCATACACTACAGCAGCCAGAGTGCACAAACAGAAGCACGAGCTGTGCTTGAGGAGCTTACACTCTCATAGGACAATGATCCATGTCTGCACTTGATCTAAATGGGCTCATATTTAAAAGAAAAGCATTGTCAAAAAACTAAAGTGTTTTGATAGTGTGTCCTTTTATCTTATTTCAGATTCTTCCAGAAGCCAATGGGTTTTGAGATACATCCATGGGTAAAATACTTGTCACAGGCATTGTTTGGTGAGTCTGACATTTGAACATGGCAAGCATTGCCCTCCGAAACCTACGATAAAAAAAGGAAAATCTGGCATTAACCCATAATGATTTGGAACTTCTAAAGCATTTTCAAATATGGCTAAGATGCCACTACTGCCAATTTACATCTCTGGATAAATTTCTGCCTCCAACTTTAACATGTCCTGTTGAGAACCTTTATAAATATATAAAGTATATGGTACAGTTAAAGCCCATTTTGCACTATTGATTCTATAGATTTCCTGTTGAGAAACTTTATAAATATATAAGGTATATGGTACAGTTAAAGGTCAATTTTGCACTGTTGATTCTACAGATTGAAGACATCTACTAAAAGTAAATAATTATATGTATTTAAAAGGATGCTACTAATGTCAAGTGCCATGAGTTGTTTATTTGAACTAACAATGTGTATTTCATCCATCTGTTCTTCCTAGCAAGAATTTTCCAAAAGAACTACCAGCAGATTCTGAATTTAAAATGTGTTCTTCATTCTTCTTATGTGGTCTGTTTGGTCTGTAAAATTTTATGTTTCTTCACATACCTGTAGCTAAAGCTGCTTTTCCAAACATTGCCATTCCAGGATAAAATTACCTGACCTCGGCTGGACGCGGTGGCTCACGCCTGTAATCCCAGCGCTTTGGGAGGCCGAGGCGGGCGGATCACGAGGTCAGGAGTTCAAGACGAGCCTGGCCAAGATGGTGAAACCCCATCTCTACTAAAAATACAAAAATTAGCCGGGTGTGGTGGCGGGCACCTGTAATCCCAGCTACTCGGGAGGCTGAGGCAGGGAATTGCTTGAACCTGGAGGCAGAGGTTGCAGTGAGCTGAGATCACACCACTGCACTCCAGCCTGGGTGACAGAGAGAGACTCCGTCTAAACTTCACTGAGGAGGCAGAAAAGGAACATTTTGCTAAGAAACCCAAAAAAGAGAGGAGGTAAGAATTCTCTAGTATCCAGATGCCTTTTATGTTGGGACTAAACTTTTCCCTTGCATTTGAATGATATGTCTTATTTCTTGTAAATATACATCTGTGCTACCCACCAAGTGAGCCCAATGTTGCCTTGTCCATTTTCCAGTTATAGAATCCCTCTTTTCTTTGGAAACCACTATTCCATGTATTTGGGGTGGGGGTAACCATTTGAACTAAGCTGACCACTGACATCCCAGGCTCTTTTCTGCCAGAGAGCCATCTGAGATGCAATTGGCATTTGGGGATGCTTAGCTGGTAGAACTTGGGTCTGGGGTTGCCCACAATCATCTCTGCCACTGTGTGGGAAGAGTCTGTAACAAATCTGGAGCTCTAAGCATTTAAGGTCCTAGATGCTGCTCCAGTCACATGAGGCAAATGACCTTTATGCTAGATTGAAGTGGGTTTCTGTCACTTCTCTCCCAAGAAGTCTTAACATTCTTTTTATATCAGTTTTATTTTGTACTGCAAGCATTTTAGACATTACTTACTTTTTATTAGCAACCACATAAATGCAGGGGTTATAGAATGTAGAAGATTTTGCAAACAGTGGAGCTATGATGGCCATGGGGGGAGGAATCTTCTTTGGGTCACCAAAAGAAGCCCATAAGCACACGATGGAATAAGGGGACCATGCCACCAGAAACATGCAGATCATGATCACAGACATCTGAAAAGAAATAAATATTCACCAAGCCCAATACCTAAAATATTTAAATATTAATATATCTAAAGTTGGGTAAAAATCTATCTGGGTTGGAATTTGAATATGTTTATGTTTTTGATGACATAAAGGAAATAGTTGAGTTTTTTTTCTGCCTTCAATGTTCTTTTTTCAAGTGCCTGAAGTCCTCGATGATAATAAGACCTTGTGAAATGGGTATATCAAGAATATATAACATTGCTTTTAAGAATGGTACACACACATAAGGAATGCCCTCTTTCTTTCTGCGTGCTAGGGGAGAGTACAAAAGCTGACTTTGATGAAAGACAGATAAAAACCCACCCCACCCCACTTCACATCATTATGCTATGAACTCCTGGCATGGCTATTATTATTATTATCACCATCATTATTATTTGCTCTTACTGGGATTACCTGCTAAATTAACAAAAGTAACTTTCTAACTTTCTAAACTCAATCTGGAAACAAATACAATCCTATCTTGAGCTCAGTGAATTCTAACACAGGCCATTTCTGCTGGATATATGTTACACACAATGCAGACAATTTTGTAAAGGAGATCTCTTGCATCTTGTTTAAATGGAAAAATTATATTTTTATATTGCTTCCCTAGATTGCCTGCTAAAATTATGGAACAGAGGTTAAAGAAGACATAAAACCATAAGGACAGAGAATCAGAGATTAGATAATACATATTTTTAATGGAAAAAATGGCCATTGGATAAGTGGCAAATTATGTAAGAAACATGAGAATAATTTTATAAATAAGTAAATAAATAAACGTTAAAAAGAGCCAACTATGAGGGAAAACCAGATACAGACCAATCCATACTACAGAGCTACAGAAATTCTAGTAACAAAGGGTACCAGAAAACTCTAGATGTGGGGGTGCACATGGAGCTCAAAATAGAACTGGTTGAAATCTACAAAGAAAGTAGACTTCCAAATCTTTACCCCTGTCCACTCAGTCTACTCAGTAACTTCCCCTTCCTCTCCCTAGAAGACTTCCAGAGGCTCAGTATAAAGAAAAAAGAAGGCTAATTTGGGAAACTCAGAACACAGGGACACCAGGTTCAGCTAAGCACTTCAGTACTGTATTGAAAAGAGGGGTACCTGTATGCTGCTCCCTCCCTGCACTGAGTGTGAAAAAACTTGGAGATAGACTTGTGCCTCCCACCCAGGAACATGAAAGGAACTGATCTGCCCAGAATAAAATACCTAAAGATATAGTTACCTAGACAGTTAGAAATTCCCCCAAACCTCCATTCCATCATTTTAGCAGGCAATCAGGAGGGAGCAACATGAAAAATATAATTTTTCCATTTAAACAAGATACAAGAGAGCTCCTTTACAAAATTATCTGCATCATGTGTAATATATATCCAGCAGAAATGGCCTGTGCTAGAATTCACTGAGCTCAAGATAGGATTGTATTTGTTTCCAGATTGAGTTTGGAAGTTAGAAAAAAAATTTTTTTGATTAGCAGATAATCACAGTGAGAGCAAATAATAATAATGATGATGGTGGTCATAATAGTAATAATAACTACAGAGACAATTAGAAATTCCCCCAAAAGAAACATCTTGCTAATGAGCATCTCCATGCTTACAATCAACATTTTTAATGCATTACTCTTAAGTATGAAGGGACAATCACTGACCACCAGACATTAAGAAAACTTTTACATTGACAGGCAAAGAAAAAAAAAAAAACAGTGCAAGAACTCAGGGGAAACAAAAATATGTGGTAAACAGAAGGAAGTATAAATATATACATAATATCACAGAAATAACAGGAGATATACATCCATAAAACAAGGAGAGAATAGAGTATAAAATAGCTGTTTTATCAATAAAAATGGTTTTTAACTCAAGAAGAGAACCCAGGCAATACCATTCAGGACATAGGCACAGGCAAAGATTTCATGATGAAGATGCCAAAAGCAATTGCAACAGAAGCAAAAGTTGACAAATAGGATCTAATTAAACTAAAGAGCTTCTACACAGCAAAAGAAACTATAAACAGAGTAAACAGACAACCGACAGAATGGGAGAAAATTTTTGCAATCTGTGCATCTGACAAAGGTCTAATATCCAGCATCTACAAGGAACTTAAACAAATTTATAAGACAAAAACAAGCAACCCCATTAAAAAGTGGGCAAGGGACATGAACAGGCATTTCTCAAAAGAAGACATACATGCAGCCAAGAAACATGAAAAAAAAAAAGCTCATCACTGATCATGAGAGAAATGCAAATCAAAACCACAATGAGATACAATCTCATACCAGTCAGAATAGCTGCTAATAAAAAGTCAAAAAATAACAGATGCTGGTGAGGTTGTGGGAAAAAAACACTTTTACACTCTTGATGGGAGTATAACTTAGTTCAACCATTGTGGAAGATTGTGTGTGGCAATTCCTCAAAGACCTAGAGACAGAAATACCATTTGTCCCACCAATTCTTTTACTGAGTATATACCCAAAGGAATATAAATCATTGTATTATAAAGACACATGCACATGTATGTTTATTGCAGCACTATTCACAATAGCAATCATGGACATGACATGGAATTAACCTAAATTCTCATCAATGATAGACTGGATAAAGAAAATGTGGTACATATACACCATGGAATACCATACAGCCATAAAGGAATGAGATCATGTCCTTTGCAGGGACATCGATGGAGCTGGAGGCCATTATCTTTAGCAAACTAATGCAGGAACAGAAAACCAAATACCTTATGTTCTCACTTATAAGTGGGAGCTAAATGATGAGAACACATGGACACACAGCGGAAGCAACACACACTGGGGCTTGTTGAAGGGTAGAGGGAGGGAGGAGGGAGAGGATCAGGAAGAACAGCTAATGGATGCTGGGCTTAATACCTGGATAGTCTGTGCAGCAAACCACCATGGCACACGTTTACCTATGTAACAAACCTACACGTCATGCACATGTACCCCTGAACTTAAAATAAAAGTTGGAAATTTAAAAAAAATGGTTTTTCTCCTATCTGTAAAAGTGAGAGTAGAATGTAAAAAATGTTACAGAAAGGTTGTATGATATTATCAGGCTGGGAACAGGGGGAGGTGAATCAGGTGAATTATATCAGTGCAGGGTCGGATCCTGTTTTTATTTAAAATTTCTATTTTGTTCAACATAATTTTTACATTAATATTGTTTTTTAAGTACTACATTAAACCACTTTTTTTATTAATGAGTTTTTTGGTGCTTGCTTGAATTTTGCACCCAAGGGTTGGCCTTCACTATCCTCACCCTTATCCTAGACCTAGATATGGTTAAGCAAATCTCCCAGAAAGTAGAAACAAAAAGAAACAAACAACAACCACAAAAGAAACAAACAAAAATAGACAATATAGGAGAGAAAATTTAAGAAAATTAGAAGGTAAATCTAGCAGATTAAATATCTAAATAAAAGGAATTCCAGGGAAAGAGAAGAAAAGAAAAAACAGAGGGACTGAAATAATCAGAGAAATGATACTAGAAATCTCCTAGAAGAGGAAGACTGGAGTCTCCACACTGAAAGTACTCACCAAGTACCCAGCACTGGATAAATACTCATACCAAGGTGCATCAGTATACATTTTCAGAAAACTAGAGACATAGAGAAGATCCTATAAGCTTCCAGAGAGAACCCACAGATCACCACAGAGCATCACCCACCAGAATGCCATCAGCCTTTGTAGTAGCAATGCTGGAAGCTAGGAGACTGTAGAGCAATGCCTTCAAAACTCTTTGAATATTACTTTTGCACCTAGAATTCTAGACCAGGCAAACAATCAGTCAAACATGATAGTAAAATTAAGACATTTTCATTCATGCAAAGTCTTAAAAAATTTACCTCTCCCATAACCTCAGGAATTAATTGAAGAATGTGCTCCACCAAATCAGAGGAAATAAACTAAGAAAAAAAAAAAGGAAGACAAGCATTCCAGAAAACAGGGGATTCGACCCTGGAAGGAGGTGAAAGCATCCTGAGCTGGTGATGAAGGGAGGCCTGAGGATGTTGGCTTTCTGAGCAGTGGTCCTCAGGAGCAATCAGTTCAAAGCAGAGCAAGAGGCCCCAGGGAACCAGGAGGATGGCTCCAAGAAGAGGATAAGGTTCATCACATCTGTGGTGTGTTTAAACATACTGAGAGCAGAGAAAGAGCCTCTTTATCTAACCAAATATTGTTAACATTATACTGACAGGTAAGGAGAGAGAAAGGTGTGGAGGAGGAGTTGGGCAGGTGGGTGGTATAAGAGAATAAATCCTCATCATCCATAGTAGGAAATCAAGAGATGATGACCAACAAAAATATCCAAAAGAGCAAACAGCATATCATTCAGAAATAAGAAGGCAAGTGGCCAGGCGCATTGGCTCACACCTGTAATCCCAGCATTTTGGGAGGCCAAGGCAGGTGGATCGCCTGAGGTCAAGAGATCAAGACCAGCCTGGCCCAACATGGTGAAACCCCATCTCTACTAAAAATACAAAAAAAATTAGCCAAGTGTGGCAGCAGGTGCCTGTAATCCCAGCTACTGGGGAGGCTGAGGCAGGAGAATCACTTGAACCCGGGAGGCGGAGGTTGCAGTGAGCCGAGATCGTGCCATTGCACTCCAGCCTGGACGATAAGAGTGAAACTCCATTTCAAAAAACAAAAGCAAAAAACAAAAATAAAAGCAAAAAAAGAAATGAGGAAGCAAACACAGAAGAAAGAGCTGGGGAGTGAGAATTGGAGATGAGGGAGAGAAGACTGCGGTGGTCCCAGGGACTCTTTCAACTATGAGTGGGTAAAAGCTCCATGACAACAATTTTTCAAGGATTTTGATCTCTTACCTTTGTTACATCTATCTGATCTGACCAGTCTCTGTTGAGGGACTCAGTGCAGTCACTGGTAGTGTGATGTTTAATGGATAGCGTGACATGGTAATAGCAGTAAAACATCACTGTCAAGGGCACAATAAAATTTATCGCAATAACTGTCATGGTGTAAGACACAAAAGATCTGAAAATAAGAAAAGGCAATCATGATTGCTCATTTAATGTCCTAAGTGGGGGAAGGAGAAAGAGGAGATAATTATTAAAAACAATACTGGTAGTCATTATATTGCTAAATAATTTTAGAAGTATATTTGACTTTTAGTTTATTTAGGCCCGGAATTGGCAAACTATGGACTGTAGGCCTATTTCAGCCTATCACTCATCTTTGTAAATAAAGTTTTATTGGAACACAGCCATGTACCCTCATTTACATACTGGCTATGGCTGCTTTTACAGGATGATGACAGAGTTGAAGAGCTGTGATAGAGAACATCTGGGCTATAAAGCCTAAATTATTTACTTTTAATTCTTTTCAAGACATAATCTTGCTCTGTCACCCAGGCTGGAGTGCAGCGGTGCAATCACGTCTCACTGTAGCCTTGAACTCCCCAGCCCAAGCCAATCTCCATTTTAGCCAACCGAGTAGCTGAGACCACAGGCATACACCACCACAGCCAGCTAATTTCCCACCCCCCGCACCACCCTCTGCTTTTTTTTTTTTTTTTTTTTGTAGAGACAGGGTCTCAATATGTTGCCCAGGCTGGTCTCAAACTCCTGGGCTGAAGTGATCTTCCTGCCCCAGCCTCACAAAGTGCTGGGATTACAGGCATGAACCACTGTGCCCAGCCTTTACTTTTTGAATCTACAGAAAAAAATTTAGATCAGGTTTGAGATCTAGAAATTTTCTGTTCATGTTTATGTCATCCTTCATTTCCTCTAATGAACTAAATTATTATCTTGTTCCTGGAAAATATAAAGAAGCCTCACTAACTAGCAGGCAAATCTTTGCAGTGACTGTGCTTTTGCTACGCAGTTCTCAGAATGTGCTGGAACACCAGACCATCTTGAAAAGACAGCAGGGAGGCAGCCTGGGCTTTTGCCAGAACTGCACACTCTGTCTAGCTTCATTAACCCTTTTCCTGCTCATGATCCTACCTTTGAAATGTGCAAATATTGGAAGGGTGATTGGTACCCTGCATTGCTGCCTTAAGAGAGAACACAGGGGAGGGAGGAAGGAATGGGATAAAGGAGACAAAGGGAGCTGGATGACCTTTACTTGCAAACAAGCATAAGTCACTTTTCTCAATTCCGTCTTTGAACTGAGAATCACATCATCACTACCAGGGAAGTGCTTCGCCACCTTCTGTATGAGGAACACATGATCTGAGCTTAAATTTGAAAGGGTGAGAAAATGTCTACATTAGAAGCATTTGATTATAAAGTGTAAACTTGTCTCTTACCTATCATTTTTCCTCCAGTTTATGGTACACGTAGCACCAGTAGGATCTGGGGCATAACTAGCCCACCCTATGATAGGCATCAAAGCCCAAAACAGGCCATTGATCCAGGCTCCCAGAATCAAGCCGATGTAAGTGTTGGTGGTCATTCTTCTCCCTATTATCAAGCACAGGAAATATTAGCAACATTTGCCATTAATGGGACTCACTTTTTAAACTTGCTTGATTTGTAAGTGTTATCAAGTAGATTCTTTACAGAGCACTTTGATTGGCCTTAGGAGCCAAAACATGAGTGCAACACCTAATAAAAGTAACACAAATATTCTCCCTTTTACTAAGCCTATCTACATAAGTTCACATTCTGGAAAAAAAAAAAGACATTTAAGCTGAAACCTAAATGAGAAAAGAATCAGCCAGAGGATAAGCAGGAAGAGTAGCTTTCCAAACCTAGCAAAACAGCAGGTATGAAAACCTCACTTTGGGCTTGGACCGTACCTCAAAGTGTGAATAGCCTTATGAAATTTGGATTTTATTCTAAGTACAATAAGAAGCCATTGAAACATTTGAACAATTATTGGCAGAGAAATAAAACTGACCCTAACTACAAACCATTAGGTTTATATTTTAGCGTATATATATATTGAGTGGCCATTAGTCAAGAAATGGATTCATTAAGAAAGCTGAGAAAAGTGTTGTACCTACGTCAGGAAGGCAGATGGTCAGGTATCGGTCCACAGCCACGACCGTGAGTAATCCAATGCTTGCCATTCCAAAAAAAATATTCAATCCAGCATAAACCTGAAAACCAAAATTGAAAAGACTCTACCATTCTAAACACCCTCCCAAGAAACATTAAATTTTTGTCCATTGTTAGAATATATCTCAAATATACTAAAGGTTTTTTACTTTACTACTTTAAAATACATCTTCATTGTCAAATTATAACTGGTTTAATAAAAGAATTTATGGAAAGTAATTTGTAATTTCATTAACTAAAATGGACTTTTTTGAAAATTTTAAGACTTACAGTGAAATTTCTTTACAACACTCTATGAACAGAGTGCAGAACAACCACAAACCAGCAAAAGACTAGTATTCAGAAGATGGGTAATTCAACAGGAGGAAAAGACAAACTCAATAGAAAAATGGCCAGATGATGAACGGGGTATTCACACAAGCCCATTAGCATTTGAATGTTTATAACATAAGACATACAACCACAATAAATATTCAAAGAAATACTGATTATAAGATGGCATTTCACACTCAAGAAAATGAAAATTTAAAAGTCTGACAATCCCAAATGTTAAGGAGAATGTGGAGTAATAGATGTTCTCATAATCTGAATAACTATTTTGGACAGCAATTTGGCTACTTCTGATAAAGTTGAAGATGAACATTCTCTACAACTTAACCATTCCACTCCTAAGCAATGTGGCTAAAGAAACTCACATATTGCAGAAGGAGACATATGTAAGAACATTTACTGAAGCCTTATCTGTGACAGAAAAAAAAATGGGGGTCCGGGCGCAGTGGCTCATGCCTGTAATCCCAGCACTTTGGGAGGCCGAGGTGGGAGGATCATGAGGTCAGGAGATCGAGACCATCCTGGCTAACACGATGAAACTCCGTCATTACTAAAAAAAAAAAAAATACAAAAAAAAAAATTAGCCAGGCTTGGTGGCAGGCACCTGTAGTCCCAGCTACTCGGGAGGCTGAGGCAGGAGAATGGTGTGAACCCAGAAGGCAGAGCTTGCAGTGAGCGGAGATCACGCCACTGCACTCCAGCCTGGGCAACGGAGCGTGACTCCATCTCAAATAAAAAAAAAAAAAAAAAAGGAAAAGAAAAAAAATGGCAACAAAGGTCCAATAAGAGTAAAATGAAAATGTACATTGGGCTTTCTACGTTCACAAAATGGAATATTATATAGCAGTTAAAATGAATGACTTACAGTCATATCCATCAACATGGATAAACCTCAAAAACATAATATCTAACAATGAAAGGAAATCGCATAATGCAAACAATATGATATCATTTACACAAAACCTGAAGTATTCAGACAGTATCTGGTTTATGTGCACATATATTAGAGAGAAAAACATTCATGGGAGGAATAAGATTGAAGATGGCATGCGGTGGCCTTCATCATTATCTGTATAGTTTTATATCTTTAAAAAGAAAAACAATCTGAAGCACAGATTGCGAAACATTAAGATTTAACAAAACTGGTTGGTACTTACGTGGTTATTCAGTATTCACTACTACTTTCATTTTATTCTCTATAGTTTTTAGGTTATGATAGTAAACTGCTAAAAGAATTAGCCTAAAAGTAATATTTGCTTACTGTCTTAAGGCAAATTAATATTAACTCATTTCCTTTTTACTAAAAAATAACATTTAGTAACAATTCTTATGGAGGACTTTCTATAGGAAAAAATTCAACAACATGGTAGCTTAACTATCTTCCATAATATTATGATTAAATCACTACTTTATTGTTTCAGATGAAAGCAGGTTATTTTTTTTAATTTGCAATATGCAAATATTTATTTGAATATGCAAATCAGCACTCTTCTCCTTTGGTTGAATGCTAGTTATTTTGTTTGTTTCTTCCTTTGAGTTGGGAGAATTTTGAAAATATAACAATGGTTGGTGATTTAATTTCTCTTATTAAAGAATATATTCCTAGTCACTTCTGTTGTTTTCCATAAAAGCACTGTATCTATTATTCTACAATATTCAATTTAAACTCTTGGGATTCGTTTTAGACATTTAAATTTACATTTATTTGATCTATTTATTTTGCTTTCATTCCAATGATCTCCAATACCTGACAGCCTGCGTATCCAAATTTCCAACTTCCATACAGATCTGAGGCAGCAGACATGGGATAGCCAATGCTACTGACCCCTATATCAGTAACAGCCAGGTTAATAATAATTGCATTTGTGGGTGTCCGAAGTTCCTTGTACTTAATGAAGATGCCCAGAACTATTATGTTGCTGATAATACTTATCATACCTGAGAACACACACAAAAATATGATGCATTTTGTTTAATTTGAATGTTTCAAAGTAGACTCAAAATTAAATATTTAAGCCCCTTTAAAAACATAACAGATCTATTTTAGTTCATTTATTTGAAGAGCTCCTGCTGTTCTTAAAACTGTATGTGACATCTTCACATCCCTTCTGTGAAACAGAAATGAGAAAATTAAAACACAAAGAATCTGGTAATTGCACAAGGCAGCACTGAACGTTGGTTTTAATGTCATTGCTATTGAGTGTTCTGTCCTTGAAACTCCTTCATTGGCTTTCATACCATTCCTACTGATTTTTAGGACAAATATATGACTGACCATGCCCTCTTTTTGTCAGCTTAACTTCCTCCTCTTCCTTCCTGGGGCCTGGGGCTCTTCTTTTTCGATAGTTGCCTTTCTCAAGCTTCAATTATCATTCTATCCTCACAGCACTTTTGTCACTATTTTCAGCCATGACACAAGCTCCAGTTCCATATCTTCTTTTTTCATTGAACTCATTGTCGTTTACTAAGCATCTACCATATGTAAGCTCATATGACTATTCCAGTATTTCTTGAAACTCAACATGTCCAAATTCTTCATTCCAACACACACACACACACACACACACACACACACACACACTACCCCAATAGAAGAATGCATACTACAAGACTTGACTATCCAGAGAGGAAGTTGAGCCAGCTTTTTGGTCCATAGAGAAGCCTCACAGCTGATACCACCTTAATCAAGTTTCTGGAAATCAAGTTTCCAGAACCTCAGTGTTGTCAGTGCCCCAGATTGGTTGCACTGAGGTAGACAGATAACTAAACTTATTAACCAGAATGCCACTGTTTTATTTTACACTGAGAAATACTGTCGAGTGTACTGGATGTGCATGTTCAACATCCCCTACATGCTGTAAAGGGCATAAGCCAGATATGGGCATACTAGATCCTAAAGGGGTGTGAGGGGGTGGGGTGTGAGTAGATTTCATCCAAGAAGCTAGAATCATTACTGGATTGTTAGAGACTAAAGGAGGGTTGTGCAACAAGCAGGAATAGAGTTGAGTTCCCCATCAAGAAAAGAATTACTTGGTGATCAATCCCCAACTATTGTCAGAGAGGGACAGTTTCCAAGCACCAACATACAACATCAGCTCAGTAAAAACTTTTAACATATCTTGGCACTTCAGTCAGAACTTCTGCCTTAGCCTGTTAAACTAACCTTCCAGATTCCTGTTCTTTTCCTCTCCTTGCTTCTGGCAGAATCAGCTTGCTATAACATAGACTTAACCATGGTTCTTCTCCTCCCGAAAACTTGTAGTATTTCCCACTGGCTGTGGGATAACAATCCAAATTTCCCAACCTGATATTCCAGGCTCTTTGCCTCATCTGTTGTCACTCTCTAGAAGCAAATTTCTACACTTGTCAAGTGAACTCTCCATTCTAGTTTTTGCCCAGATACACCATGCTTGACTCATATTTCTCCCACTTGGAGCACCCTGCTCCTTCTCTTTTCCTATCCAAATGCCATCCATCCTTCAAACTTCAGTTCAAGCCCCTAAGCCTTATCCTACCCACACTATCCTCTCCTCCCTAAATTTCCAAACTACTTGCTTATGATTAACTGAGTCTTATGTAACACTATATAATTTAACTGTTACTTTTCCTTGTCTTTTCATGTGGATTTCAGGCTCCTCATGATTTCTGTGGTTTTTGAATACGTGACATACAGCAGATTTATTTAATAAGTGGGCTACAACTAAAACCCATATTGCTTAATTTCTATCATTCCTTCAAGATAATTAGCACACAATGACAGCAAATTTGATGATTCTTTGGCCCTATTTTTAGCATCTAGGATTGTAGCATGTATACAAGATATACTCCGAAGAATTTAATGAAATGAAGACTCTTTCTGGGCTAGCTACAAATTCAATGACTTTTTAAAGTTAGATAAAAACAGTGCAGTAAATTGCTGCCTACCAAGTACGCAACCAGAATAAAGGAACTATAATTCTGGGAGTCTTAGAAATAATGGGGGTTATGAACTAAACAGTTTAGCCCTTTTCTCTATTCTCTCTGCAGCTGTACCAAGCACACTGCCTTGTTTCCACAGCTGTAGGTCTTCTAATGAGTATACAAAAGATCACCTAGTTGTTAGATTTTAGTTAAGTCCCATTTCACAGTCAGTCTAAACACTAAGTAGCACTTGATGTTGATTTCTCCTTCACTCTTGAAACATTTTCCTTCTTGTCTTCCGTGACTTCCGTGCAATCTCTTCAACAGACCCTTCTTGATCTACTTCCTGGCCTTTCTTTCTCCATCTATGTCTTATTAAATATGTGCATTGTCCAACCTTCTGTCCTAGATCCCTTTCTTTTCACATTTAACACATACTCTGAGTAATTTCTTCATACCCAAGGCTATACCCTGATATTTTTCAGCCTCCGGACACTCAAACCCATGTGTCCAGCTTTTTATTGGACACCTCTCAAACTGAACTGAGAGACTTTTTCTCCTGCCTCAAACCTGTTCTTCCCCAGGTGTGTTCCCATCTGATGAAGAGCATCACCATCTATTCAGTGGCTCAAAAAAGAAACCTAGGCATCATCTTTGATACTTCTCTCCTTCTCCCACAATCCCAACATCCAATCATCAATTCCA